>NC_000013.11:74923257-75074772 GCF_000001405.40 Homo sapiens
ACTGAGTTGCAGGTGGCAGGAGTAAAAGAGCTGTAACACTCCTGCCCACTGAACTACAGGAGTAAAAAGGGCGCAACACTACCATTAGGAGACACTAGTTCTGATAGTGTTTTCAAACTTAATACAAAATCTCAAGAATAAGATGGAAGACTGTGCCAAATTATATGTGTCAAATTTTTTTAGTTTCATTTGCAATTGGCTTCTGAGAACTTTTTGTATGCCAGGGGCTGAGTTTGAAACTGGCACAGAAAGATTATTTCTTCCTTCAAGGACATGCTAATCTAAAAGTAATGAGAGATGTAAAAATAAAATAAATATTTTATGGACTGAGAATTGCAAAAAAAGAGTCTATATATTTGCAAAAGAGTAAATGATTCATTCTAATTCCTAGATTGTGAAGTAAGTGATACCAGAGTATTATTTTGAGAGGATAGGATGTAGTTCATAGGAGAAAGGAGAAAGAAAGAGGAGGTAATTCCAGGGGCAGTGGGCACAGAATATACAACAGCATGAAGATATGACAGATTATGAAGCTATCAAGGAACTACAAATAATTAATTATTGCCAGAAGGTAAAATGTTGGCAGTAGGTAGTGATGGAAGGTCATGGCTGAAGAATGACACATAGAACAAATTAAGACTAACCTTAAATATCATAGTCAGGAATTTGGAGTTTTTGAGAGGAAGGTAAAGGTTTGACGAGTTTTAAAAAGAAAAACAGTAAGATCAAGTTTCATACTGAGAAGTAGTAAAATAATTGCAACCAAGTGAAGGCCTGATTGAAGTCAAGAAAGCTAGTGAGGAGTCACGTTATAACTACTGGACTAGTATACCCAAAGTTTCTCTAATCCTACCCGTGTGTTAATTTCATCTTTATAACTCAGTTTCATCGTTCAAGATACAAAAATGACAAACTATAAAAGAATATACAGAAGTTTTATAGATGCTCTTATTCAGAAGCCACCCAGGCCTGCAGGCAACCAATATGATTACTTTTTGTCTGTTCTTCCAGATATATTTGTGCCCATTCAAACACATATACTCCTGCACTCCATTTTTTATACAAATAGTCACATATTCAACATACTGTTCTGCATTTTGTTTTCATCATTATATATCTTGAAGATATTTCTATATTAATGAAACACAAGCATCCTCAATCTTTTTAAACTGCTGCGTATATTTTCCAGTGCATATATGTACCACAATTTATTTAACTGGTCTTTTATTCAAGGGTATTGAGATTGTTTCAGTGCTACAATAAATATCCTTTCATATATTTTATTTTACACCTGGACAATTATATCTTTAGAATTCTGTTTCCATCATCTATTGCTGTATAACAAACTACCCCAAAACTTAGTACTAATTTTAAACTAACAATCATGGCAGTATCTCATAATTTGGCTCATATCTCATAATGGCTGCATGGCCCACCATGGCTCAATCACACAGCTAGCACCCTCACAGGTAAAGTAGGAAGACTATACTCAACAGGAACAAGTACCCAGAGATATCTCACCCGGCCTCTCCAGCATGGTCATCTCAGGGTTCTTGAACTTCTTACATGGAGTCTCAGAGCTTCTAAAAAGGAATTAACTCACCTCAGCTCTGGTTTAGACAAACAGGACCTTACAGTCTAGATAGTGTCATCTGTATCACGTGCAAATACAGACGATACTCTTCAGTGAAGATACCTGAGTATGACTCTTCTCAACCTGAAGATTTGTGAACTAAAAACAAAAGCAAACCAAAAACTCTACTTCCCCTCCGTAATAACTAATACACAATGGAATAACAGACTAAATGATTGCAATGGACTCTCCCATTTAAAAATGGGGGAAAAGAAAGCACATTTGGCAGTGTCTTGATTAGGGGCCAGTCCTACCTTGGAAATATTAAATCGTTCTCTCTGGCTCTTTCATTCACTTCCCGGGTTCTTGGAACTCTCTTCTTGTTTATTTTTTATTTTCCATAACAAGAAAAACATTTTGGCTGTTGTGCAACATTATCAGCTTTCTTTCTACTCTCAGAGAATTGAGGGCTTATGGGTTGGTTTTTGTTTTGTTTTTCTTTTTAATATGTCTATTCCTTTTATTTCAAGTTCACAGTACTAATGCAATTCTCATATAAACTTTGTGGGATCCCTGTGAATCTTAGTAAGTTTCACTATACTAAATAAAAGCCACACCACAAATCTCTCAACACAGGCTCTCTTGGATTTGGGATAGGGTCAAAATGGCTGTAGGAAAATATCTTAAAATTTTCTGGAAGGCTTTTTGTCTAACTGAGAGTTTCTATGAGACATGCCTTTAAGTCTTTCTGAAACCTTCATAAAGGGTCTTATAGGCATACTTTTGAGGTGGTCTTTGACTTATAGTCATTTTTAACTCGAAAGCCTTTTGGAGAAGGTGTGAATGAGAAGCAGTGTTCAAATAGCAAGACATGGCTACCTTCTATTACTTTATATAAACAGAAAAGAGAAAAGGGTGACATTATAGAATATAATGTAAAAAGATTATAAGAGAATAAGATAATTATATGCCAACAAATTAGATATCCTAGATATAATAGACAAATTTCAAGAAAGAGACAAATTATTGAAACAGACTCATGAAGAAACCGAAAAATGTACATAGACTTAGAACAAGTAAAGAGATTGAATTAGTAATTTTAAAACTTTTAACACAAAAGCTCAGGTCCCCATGGCTTCATCAGTAAATTTTACCATACATTTAAAGAAGAATTACTACCAATACCTTAAAAACACTTCCAAAATATGGAAGAGAATGGAAACCTTTCTAATTCGTTTTATGAGGCCAGATATCAAAACCAAAGACATCACACACACACATACACAAAAAAATCACCAAAGCTACATACCAATATCCCTAATGAGTACAGAGGCAAAAATCTGCCCCAAAATTACTAGCAAACCAAACTAGTAGCATGTACAATGGATTATTCACCATGATTAAATGAGATTTATCCAAGGAATGCTAGATTGATTTAGCATACAAAAGAAAAAGAAGAAGAATAAATGTAGTATACCATATTGATAGAATGAAGGAGGAAAAAAACTGCATTAGTATCTCAATAGGCACAGAAAAATGTTTGACAAAATCTAACACCATTTAAAGATAAAAAAGACCCAAACTAGTAATAGAAGGGAAATTTATCAACCTAATTAAGGTCATCTAAAAGAAAAAAAAGACAATAAACTACAGCTATTATCATACTTAAAGGTAAAGCTTTCCCTTTAAAATGAGGAACAAGACAAATTTCTACTCTAATTACTTCCATTCAACATGGTACTGGAGGTTCTAGTCACGGCGAAATCAGGCCAGAAATATTTCTGAAAGGCAGGATCCTGGGGAGGAGGGGTAGGGCAGAGAAAAGCATCCAGATTGGAAAGAAAATAAACTATATTTATTTTCATTTGATATACTCTTATAGATAATCTCAAAGAATCTGCAAAACATTAATAGTATACCAGAGCTAATAAGAATGTTCAGTAAGGTTGCAGGATATAAAAATCAGTTTATATCTGTATATTAGCAATGAATAATCTAAAAATAACATTAAGATGACAAGTCCAATTATAATAGCATCAGAAACAATAAAGTACATAAGAATTTAATGAAAGACATAAGACATACATACTGAAAACTACAAAATATTTTTGAAAAAAATTAAGACCAAAATAAATGAAAACTGTGCTCATGGATTGGAAGGTTAATATTTTAAAGATGGCAATATTTCCCAAATTGATCTACAGATTTCATAATATCCCTATCAAAATGTTATCTGCCTTTTTACAAAGATGGACTGATTCTGAAATTGCAAGAGAATCAGAATAGTCAAAACAATCTTGAAAAAGGAGAATAAAATTAAAGGACTCACACTGCCTGATTTTATAGCCTATTACAAAGCTACAGTAATGAAGACAGTGTGAGACTTGCATAAGAATAGACTTATCTATCAAGGGAACAGAATTAAGAATCCAGAAGTAAACCTATCCATCTATGCTCAATTCATTTTTGACAAGCATGCTAAGGCCTTTTGTATTAGTTTCCTGTTGCTGCTGTAACAAATTACCATAAATGGGGTAACTTAACAAAAATTTATTCTCTCAGTTCTGGATGTCAAATGTCTGAAATCAAGGTGTTGGCAAGATCAAGATCCTCTCTAGAGGATCTGAGCAAGAATTTGTTCTTTGACTCTTACAGTTTCTAGTGGTTACTGCCTTTCTTGATTTGCAGCCCAATCCATCCAATCTCTACCTCTATCTTCACATCACACCTTCTCCTCTATGTGCTTGTGACTTTGCTTCTGTCACTTCTAAAGATAATTGTCATTGAATATAGGACCCATGAGGGTAATTTAGGATAATCCCATCTCAAAAACCCTAATTTAATTGCATATGCAAAGATCCAAATTAGGTATTTAAGTTTCCAAATACAGCATTTGGATTTCAAATAAAGTATTATTCACAAATTCTGGGGATTAGGACATGAACACATCTTTTTTTTGGCAGGGGGGGTTACTACTTGACCCACTACACTATGCAATAAAGAAATGAATGGTCTTTTGTTGTTGTTGTTAGCTAAGATTTATTTATTTTTAACTTGTATTTTAGGTTCAAGGGTACATGTACAAGTTTGTTACATAGGCAACTGCATGTTCACAGGGGTTTGGTGTATGGAGTATTTCATTACCCAGGTAATAAGCATAGTACCCAATAGATATGTCATCTGATCCTCTCTCCTCCCACCTTCCACCCTCAAGTAGGCCTTGGTGTCTGTAGTTCCCCTCTTTCTGAACATGTGTTCTCATTATAAGTGAGAACATGCAGTATTTGGTTTTCTGTTCCTGTTTAATAGGTTAGTGCAAAAGTAATTGCGGTTTTTGCCATTTACCTCTTTATGGCAAAAACCACAATTACTTTGCAACAACCTAATAGTTTGCTTAAGATAATAGTCTTCAGCTCCATCCATGTTACTGCAAAGGACATGATTTCATTGCTTTTTATGGCTGCATAGTATTCCATTGTGTATGTGTACCACATTTTCTTTATCCACTTTATCATTGATGGGCATTTACATTGATTCCATGTCTTTGCTATTGTAAACAGTGCTGCAGTAAACATACATATGCATATGTCTTTATAGTAGAGTGATTTATATTCTTTTTTTTTTTTTTTTTTTTGAGACAGAGTCTTGCTCTGTACCCCAGGCTGGAGTGCAATGGCACAATCTCGGCTCACTGCAAGCTCCACCTCCTGGGTTCACACCATTCTCCTGCCTCAGCCTCCCGAGTAGCTGGGACTACAGGCGCCCGCCACCGCGCCCGGCTAATTTTTTGTATTTTTAGTAGAGACGGGGTTTCACCATTTTAGCCAGGATGGCCTCGATCTCCTGACCTCGTGATCCTCCCGCCTCGGCCTCCCAAAGTGCTAGGATTACAGGCATGAGCCACCGTGCCCGGCATGATTTATATTCTTTTAGGTATATACCCGACAATGGGATCGCTGGGTTGAATAGTCATTCTGTTTCAAGTTATTTGAGGAATCACCACACTACTTTCCACAATGGCTGAGCTAATTCACAGCCCCATCAACAGTGTATAAGTGTTCCCTTTTCTCCACAGCCTTGCCAGCATGTTGTTTATTGCCTTTCTAACAGCCAATGTATGGTCTTTTCAACAAATGGATACACAGTTGCTGTGACAACTGGATACACACAGGCAAATTAATGAATTTGGACCCCTATCTTACCTAAAGATTCAAAGACAGATTTAAGAGCTAGAACTATAAATGTCATAAAAGATATAGGCATAAATTTTTTGACATTGAATTAAGCAATGATTTCCTAGAAGTAATATCAAAAACATGAAACAACCAAAGAAAAAATAGGTAACTTACACTTCTTCAAAGCTTAAAATTTGTATATGCCAAAAGCTACTGTAAAGAAAGTATTTTTAAAAAGAGCCCACAATATGAGAAAATATTTGCAAATTATGTATCTGATAAGAAACTAGCGTTCACCATATATAATGAGCACTTATAATCCAGCATTACAAAGATAAATAACCCAATTTTAAAATGGGCAAAAGATTTGAATAGATATTTCTCCAAAGATAGCCAGTAAGCACATGAACAGATGTTCAACATTAGAAAAGTACAAATCAAAGCCACGATAAGACACCACTTCACATTTTCTAAATTGGCAATATTTTTGAATAGAAAACAAGTGTTGGCAAGGATATTGAGAAATTGGAACTTTCATACATTTCTGGTGGGATAGAAAATTGTGTAGTCACCTTGTAAAATGGCTTGCCAGTTTCTCAAAAAGTTAAATATAGAGTTACTATATGACCCGGAAATTCTACTCTTAGGAACACCCAAGATAATTAAAGCCATATGTTTACACAAAAACTTGAACATGAATGTTTGCAAAAACATTACTCAAAATAGGCAAAAAGTAGAAAAACTCAAATGTCCATCAACTGATAAATGAACAAATATGGTGTATCCATATAATGGAATATTATTCAACTGTAAGAAGAAATTAAGTACTGATTCATAAAACAATACAGAAACAAAATGGAATGTTTGAATAGGAAAATACATAGAAACAAAAAGTAGTCGCCACGAGCTGGGAAAAGGAGGAAATTGGGAGTGACTGCAAAGAGTATGGGTTTCTTTTTGTGGTGAAAATATTCTGAAATTATATAGTCATGATGATTGCACAATCTTTAGAATTTTCTAAAAACCAATTAATGTGTTCTTTAAACAGGTGAATTTTATAGTATGTGAATTATATTTCAAAAATAATTAAAATATTTTTAAATGACCTACAGCTACCTATAACATAATGCTTATAAAAGTAATTTGAGTTATAAAAAATTAAGTCATAGAAGGCTGTAAATGTTTCCTTTTTTGTAAAAATTAAACAGAAAATCTAAAAGCCAAATAAATACAAATAAAATTCAGCAATCTATTTACTCATGGGGGTAGCATAAAGGTATATGCAAAGCTAATGGTAATGTTTTTATTATTAAATATGGTGGATGCATGCATGTTAATTTTATAAGAATGCTTCTTACCAAACATACATGCTCTTATATGCTTCAAATATTATATAATAAGAACATTTAAGTGATTTGCTTTTCAATTTTATGTGGCTGGGGAATAATAGTGCCCCTAATTAACACAGTGGGCTTAAAAGCAGATGACATGTCATGTTATGATATGGGTCAGCCTTTCTTTAGTCAATCTGCCCCACCATTCTTCCTCTAATGATTACTCCTCCTGAGTCACTCAACTGTTGTTGATCAGCCAACTGAATCAGGAGTTGGGCTTTTTATAGATCTGGAGCATCAAAGTGAGTCATCTACTCACTGCTGGCACAGTTCATTTCCAAATCATCTTCCACCTCCTCAGCTAAAATTAATCTGCCTATTATTTTATCTAAGCCAACGTCATTATTCTGCTATAGTTAAAATTTAAATCATAGTATCCTGTGATTAATTCAACTTAAATCATGATATCCTGCGATTCCCAATTTGTTGAACAGAAGCATTTCCGTGCTTTATGAGAAAGTGATTTACCAGACTAGAACAACAATACTGCTCATCTTTAATAGTCAAACTGAACTTTCTTTTTAGAAAGTAAGCCCATGACAGTCATCTTGAAAGACATGTTTGCTTTTAATTCTAGAAACTTCCCTTTATGTCTTTATTATAAGGGTAATGCTACACTAATAGAAGAGGCTGTAGCAACCCTTCTATGTTTGTAAGGAGAGCTAAGGAAGGTTAAAGAAAGGAGGTGAGAAGTGAAAGTTCTGATTTCCAGCCATAGACTCAGAAGGGTAGAATTATACAGAAATATATATATACAAACACACACACACACACACACACACACACACAGAGAGAGAGAGAGAGAGAGAGAGAGAGAGAGAGAGAGAAATGAGACGTTGGCTGTGTGAGATTGCAGACCTTCTAATAAAGGAATCACTAAACTGGCACAAATTACCAAAAATAAAATTATTTAATAATGTCTCTGGAAATTGAGCTAAGAAGAGGCAATAAGTTGAGAAGCATTTATAAAAAAAAAAAAAACTTCAGAATTTCAGTAAGAACAGTGGTAGTCTGTGGCACTTGAGCCAGAAACTGCTGTCATCACCACTCCCAACTTTTAGTCAGTGTTGCAGGTTTATTTTAGGCAGGCAAGGCCAAGAAGAGGGTGGCATTTTTCACCCTACTCCCTCCATTACCTCTCAGCTGTAGGGCAATGGTTTCACTCTGGGAGGGGCAGATAAGGCTCCCTTATAACCTCCTTCAAGATCTATGTTCCATATAATCTACTCCAGAAGGGTTCAGCTAAGATAGCTCTCTGCCCAGCTCTCACTCATAGGGTGAAGGCTTTTTCCTGGTCAGACACTGCAAGCCATGAACTGTAGGCCAAAGAGACTTAAGGCTTCTATTGCCATGCTTATAGGGTAGAAGTTCCATACTCTTCCAAAGGAAAATAGGGACTACCATACTGCCTAGCTCCAACTTAGGGTAAAGGAGTCAGTCTGGGAGAAGCAGACTGTATCTCATCCCATCCATGCACTTAGCTCCAGCACAATGAGCAGAGCTTCTGCTCTGGGGAAAGCCAGACTTGAGGACTGCCAGCTCCACAGCACTGCCTGAGGGAGCTGACTTAATTGGAAACAGAGTATAGGAACTCCTGTCTGGAGGCAACCTTCCTTAAAAAAATAAATAAAATAAAAAATAAAAAATAAATAAAATGAGGTCATAGTGGTAAACAATTTAAACAATTAGGGAAGCAATTGGATACTGATAGCAGCAAACAAAACAACAGAACTGCCAGAATTTTAACAAGAACATGAGGAAAAAAGACAGCCTCAAGAGATCCTAATAAGATCATACCCATCCCTAGTGGTTTGGAAGGCTGTGTACACACACACTGAAGCAATTGGAGAACTGTTAATCCTGGCTAACAGCAGTGTAGGTTTGAAATCTTCCTGAAATGGATAGAAGTCATACTGGTTCAGAAGGCTTAAACACAATCCCTAACCCATCACTCACTGGTTGAAGACTAACTTATACTGACCTAGGAGCAACTTCTAGAATTCTAAGCTTAAAAATTTTTTAAAGAACAACAACAAAATGTCCTGAGTACTGACATCGGAGGTTGTATACTTTGCAGGGAATAGACTTTATAGAATTAGTTAGAGCAATCCACTAAACAAACAAAACTAACCAACAATAACAAGCCCCAGGGTGAAAGTCAGAAATGACTGCACTACATTACATAAAATATCCAATTTTTAGGAAGAAATTTTGAAACATGCAAAGAAAAAGGAAAGTGTGATCCATAATGAAGAAAAGATAATCAGGCAATAGATAATACTTTTGAAAGATCCTGTATGTTAGACATTGTAGACAAAGATTTAAAGAAGTTACTATATGTGCAAAGAACTAGAGAAACCATGTGTAAAATAAAGAAAAATAGAATTTAAATACAGAATATTAATAAGCATTTAGAAATTATTAAAAAATTGAAATTTTTGGAGTTGAAATCTGTAACTGAAATGAAAAATTCACTGAAATGAAAAAAAAAAACTCCACAGTAGCTTTGACCTAGAAGAAACAAATCAGAGAAACTCAATAAAAAAGATATTTAATGTGAAGAACGTAAGTTTTAAAAGAATAAAATAAATGCATACAGCCTCAGAGAACTGAGAGCAGCAGCATCTGTATAACTGGGAGTAACAGAAGAAGGCAATGTGGCAGAAAAAAACAGTCAAGGAAATAATGCCTGAAACTCTCCAAATATCTACAGACAAGCAAATGCTGAGGGTACAAAGAAGCACATAAGCTCAAAATAAAAGGGATGGAGGAAGATCTACCAAGCAAATGGAAAGCAAAAAAAAAGCAGGGGTTGCAATCTTAGTCTCTGATGAAACAGACTTTAAACCAACAAAGATCAAAAGAGACAAAGAAGGCCATTACATAATGGTAAAGGGATCAATGCAACAAGAAGAGATAAACTATCCTAAATATATATGCACCCAATACAGGAGCACCCACATTCATAAAGCAAGTCCTTAGAGACCTACAAAGAGACTTAGACTCCCACACAATAATAATGGGAGACTTTAACACCCCACTGTCAACATTAGATCAATGAGACAGAAGGTTAACAAGGATATCCACGACTTGAACTCAGCTCTGGACCAAGCAAACCTAATAGATATCTACAGAACTCTATATCCCAAATTAACAGAATATAAATTCTTCTCAGCACCACATTGCACTTATTCTAAAATTGACCATATAATCAGTAGTAAAATACTCCTCAGCAAATGTAAAAGAAGAGAAATCACAACAAACTCTCTCTCAGACCACAGTACAATCAAATTAGAACTCCGGATTAATAAACTCACTCAAAACCACACAACTACATGGAAACTGAACAACCTGCAGCTGAATGACTACTGGGTAAATAACGAAATGAAGGCAGAAATAAAGATGTTCTTTGAAACCAATGAGAGCAAAGACACAACGTACCAGAATCTCTGGGACACATTTAAAGCAGTGTGTAGGAGGAAATTTGTAGCACTAAATGTCCACAAGAGAAAGCAGGAAAGATCTGAAATCGACACCCTAACATCACAATTAAAAGAACTAGAGAGGCAAGAGCAAACAAATTCAAAAGCTAGCAGAAGGCAAGAAATAACTAAGATCAGAGCAGAACTGAAGGAGGTAGAGACACAAAAAACCCTTCAAAAAAAAAAAATCAATGAATCCAGGAGCTGGTTTTATGAAAAGATCAACAAAACTGATAGACTGCCAGCAAGACTAATAGAGAATAAAAGAGAGAAGAATCAAATAGATGCAATAAAAAATGATAAAGGGGATATCACCACCAATTCCACAGAAATACAAACTACCATCAGAGAATATTATAAACACCTCTACGCAAATAAACTAGAAAATCTAGAAGAAATGGATAAATTCCTGGACACATACACTGTCCCAGGACTAAACCAGGAAGAAGTTAAATCTCTGAATAGACCAATAACAGGTTCTGAAATTGAGGCAATAATTAATAGCCTGCCAACCAGGAACAGATGCATTCACAGCCAAATTCTACCAGAGGTACAAAGAGGAGCTGGTTCCATTCCTTCTGAAACTATTCCGAAAAATAGAAAAAGAAGGAATCCTCCCTAACTCATTTTATGAGGCCAGCATCATCCTTATACCAAAGCCTGGTAGAGACACAACAAAAAAAGAGAATTTTAGGACAATATCCCTGATGAGCATCGATGCGAAAACCATCAATAAAATACTGGCAAACCGAATCCAGCAGCACATCAAAAAGCTTATCCACCAGGATCAACTCAGCTTCATCTGTGGGATGCAAGGCTGATTCAACATATGCAAATCAATAAACGTAATCCACTAAATAAACAGAACCAATGACAAAAACCACATGATTGTCTCAATAGATGCAGAACGACCTTCGACAAAATTCAACAGCCTTTCATGCTAAATAAAATCTCAAAATGTATCTCAAAATAGTAAGAGCTATTTATGACAAACCCACAGCCAATATCATACTGAATGGGCAAAAACAGGAAGGGTTCCCTTTGAAAACTAGCACAAGACAAGGATGCCCTTTCTCACCACTCCTATTCAACATAGTGTTGGAAGTTCTGGCTAGGGCAATCAGGAAAGAGAAATAAATAAAGGGTACTCAATTAGGAAAAGAGGAAGTCAAATTGTCTGTTTGCAGATGACATAATTGTGTATTTAGAAAACCCCATCGTCTCAGCCCAAAAACTCCTTAAGCTGATAAGCAACTTTGGCAAAGTCTCAGGATACAAAATCAATGTGCAAAAATCACAAGCATTCCTATACACCAATAACAGACAGAGAGCCAAATCATGAGTGAACTCCCATTCACGATTACTACAAAGAGAATAAAATACCTAGGAGTACAACTTAAAGGGATGTGAAGGACCTCTTTAAGGAGAACTATTAACCACTGCTCAACGAAATAGAAGAGGACACAAACAAATGGAAGAACATTCCATGTTCATGGATAGAAAGAATCAATATTGTGACAATGGCCATACTGCCCAAGGTAATTTATAGATTCAATGTTATCCCCAGCAAGCTACCACTGGCTTTCTTCACAGAATTGCAAAAAACTACTTTAAACTTCATATGGAACCAAAAAAAGAGCCCATGTAGCCAAGACAATATTAAGCAAAAAGAACAAAGCTGGAGGCATCACGCTACCTGCCTTCAAACTACACTACAAGGCTGCAGTAACTAAAACAGCACGATATTGGTACCAAAACAGATATACAGACCAATAGAGCAGAACAGAGGCCTCAGAAATATCACCACACATCTACAACCATCTGATCTTTGACAAACCTCACAAAAACAAGCAATGGGGAAAGGAGTCCCTATTTAACAAAGGGTGCTGGGAAAACTGGCTAGTCATATGTTGAAAGCTGAACCTGGATCCCTTCCTTATACCATATACAAAAATTAACTCAAGATGGATTAAAGACTTACATGTAAGACCTAACACCATAAAAACCCTAGAAGAAAACCTAGGCAATACCATTCAGGACATAGGCATGGGCAAAGACTTCATGACTAAAACACCAAAAGCAATGGCAACAAAAGACAAAATTGGTAATAGGATCCTATTTGTAATAGGAACTAATTAAACTAAAGAGCTTCTCCACGGCAAAAGAAACTATCATCAGAGTCAACAGGCAACCTACAGAATGGGAGAAAATTTTTGCAATCTACCCATTTGACAAAGGGCTAATATCCAGAATCTACAAAGAACTTAAACAAATTTACAAGAAAAAAACAAACAACCCCATCAAGAAGTGGGCAAAGGATATGAACAGACAGTTCTCAAAAGAAGATATTTATGCAGCCAACAAACATATGAAAAAATGCTCATCGTCACTGGTCATCAGAGAAATGCAAATCAAAACCACAATGAGATACCATCTCACACCAGTTAGAATGGCAAACATTAAAAAGTCAGGAAATAACAGATGCCAGAGAGGATGTGGAGAAATAGGAATGCTTTTACACTGTTGGTTGTAATTACTTCAACCATTGTGGAAGACAGTGTGGCGATTCCTAAAGGATCTAGAACTAGAAATAACATTTGACCCAGTGATCCCATTACTGGGTATATACCCAAAGGATTATAAATCATGCTACTGTAAAGACACACACATAACGTATGTTTATTGCGGCGCTGTTCACAATAGCAAAGACTTGGAACCAACCCAAATGTCCATCAATGATAGACTGGATTAAGAAAATGTGACACATATATACCATGGAATACTATGTAGCCATAAAAAAGGATGAGTTCATGTCCTTTGCAGGGACATGGATAAAGCCGGAAACCACCATTCTAAGCAAACTACAACAAGGACAGAAAACTAAACACTGCATGTTCTCATTTATAGGTGGGAGTTGAACAATGAGAACACAAGGACACAGGAATATCACACACTGGGGCCTGTCCAGGGTGGGGAGCTGGGGGAGGGATAGTATTAGGAGAAATACCCAATATAGATGATAGGTTGATGGGTGCAACAAACCAACATGGCACATGTATACCTATGTAACAAACCTGCACATTGTACATATGTACCCTAGAACTTAATGTATATATATATATATACACACACACTTTATATATATATACACACACACATATATACATATACACACACACACATACATACACACACACGGTTGGTTATATAAAGTGTATATATATATAGCTGAGTGCGGTGACTCATGCCTGTAATTGCAGCACTTTGGGAGGCCGAGGCGGGCAGATCATGAGGTCAGGAGATCGAGACCATCCTTGCTGACACGGTGAAAGCCCGTCTCTACTAAAAATACAAAAAATTTAGCCAGGCAAGGTGGCAGGCACCTGTAGTCCCAGCTACTCAGGAGGCTGAGGCAGGAGAATGGCGTGAACCCAGGAGGCGAAGCTTGCAGTGAGCTGAGATCGTGCCACTGCACTCCAGCTTGGGCAACAGAGCAAGACTCTGTCTCAAAAAAAGAAAGAAAGAAAGAAACATTGTCAGCCAAAACTTAAATATTAGAATCAACCTAAAAGTGTAGATGAATAGTTAAATAAATTATTCATGAAATAAAAAAAGATGCTAACATTTGAAACTGATCTAAGAAGCTTTTCCTATAGAAAAATAAAATAAAATAAACATGTACAGTCAAAAAAGAAAATATATTAGGCCATAAAATAAGGCTCAACAATTTATTTACTTATTTATATTTAATTGTATTTTATTGTAAGTTCTGGGATACATGTGCAGAATGTGCAGGTTTGTTACATAGGTAGACCTGTGCCATGGTGGTTTGCTGCACCTATCAACCCATCACCTAAGTATTAAGCCCCACATGCATTAGCTATTTATCCTGATATTCTCCCTCCCTGCACCCCACCTACAGGCCCCTGTGTGTGTTGTTCCCCTCTCTGTGTCCATGTGTTCTCATTGTTCAGTTCCCACTTATGAGTGAAAACATGCGGTGTTTGGTTTTCTGTTCCTGTGTTAGTTTGCTGAGGATGATGTCTTCCAGCTTCATCCAGATCCCTGCAAAGGACTTGATCTCATTCCTTTTTATGGCTGCATAGTATTCCATGATTATATGTACATTTTTCCTTATCCAGTCTATAGTTGATGGGCATTTGGGTTGATTCCATGTCTTTGCTATTGTGAATAGTGCTGTAATAAACATACATATGCATGTATCTTTATAGTAGAATGATTTATATTCCTTCGGGTATATACCCAGTAATGGGATTGCTGGGTCAAATGGTATTTGTGGTTCTACATCCTTGAGGAATTGCCACAAGTCATGCCGAATGGTTGAACTAATTTACATTCCTACCAACAGTGTAAAAGCGTTCCTATTTCTCTACAGCCTCGCCAGCATCTATTGTTTCTTGATTTTTTAATAGCCACCATTCTGACTGGTGTGAGATGGTATCTCACTGTGGTTTTGATTTGAATTTCTCTAATGATCAATGATGTTGATCTTTTTTTCATATGTTTGTTGGTTGCATAAATGTCTTCTTTTAAGAAATGTCTGTTCATGTCCTTTGCCTACTTTTTGATGGTTTTTTTTCTTTCTTGTAAATTTGTTTAAGTTCCTTGTAAATTCTGGATATTAGATCTTTGTCAGATGGGTAGATTGCAAAAATTTTCTCCCATTCTCTCGGTTGCCTGTTCACTCTGATGATAGTTTCTTCTGCTGTGCAGAAGCTCTTTAATTAGATCCTCTCACAGTGTACATTAGAATGGCTATAATCAAAATGACAGATAAAAACATCTCTTGGTAAGAACGCAGAAAATTGGAACTCTCATACATTGCTTGTGAAGGTATAAAATGGTACAAGCTTTTTGAAAAACTGTTCAACAGTTATTATAAAGTTAAATACACACTTAATGTATACCTCAAAAATTCTACTTCTGTGTATTTACTCAAGATCAATGAATACATATTTTCATACCAAGATGTGAACATGGCCGGCATGGTGGCTCACACCTGTAATCCCAACACTTTGGGAGACCAAGGCAGGTGCATTGCTTGAGCTCAGGAGTTTGAGACCAGCCTCAGCAACATAATGAAACTGCGTCTCTACGAAAAATACGAAAAATTAGCAGGGCATGGTGGCACACACCTGTGGTCCAAGCTACTCAGGAGGCTGAGACGGGAGGATCGCTTGAGCCTGGGAGGCAGAGGTTACAATGAACTGAGATCATGCCACTGCACTGTAGCCTGGGTGACAGAGTGAGACCCGGTCCCAAATAAAAAAAAAAAAAAAAGATGTGAACATCAATTAGTGTTCATAGAAGTTTTATTCATAATAGCCAAAATCTGGAAACAACCCAATGTTCATTAGCTGATGAATGGGTAAACAAAATGTGTTACAGCTATACAAGAGTACCACTCAGCAATAATGAGCTGATAATATACACAACAAGATATATAAGTGTCCTTATTTTTGGATTCCATTTGTTTGTAATTCTAAAAAGGCAAAATGAATCTGTAGCAACAGAAAGCTGATCTGACCAGGACTGGTAGTGTTAGAAGGGCTTAATCAAAAGGAGCAAAAGAGAAGTTTTAGACTACAGAAAATGCTTTATATCTTGATTCTGGGGTAGTTATATTGTCCTGGCAAGATCTGGAATTTTTACTGATAACAATTTAAACAGTAAAGTTGCTGGTAGTCTATAATTTTAAATAATAAGGTTTCTCGGTAAATGGCCAAAGTAAGAGATTGTTAGGACAGCTTACAGTGGTAGTGTGTTCTTAGGAGACATTGAATCAGTAGTTGTAAAAGTCTTCTCAAAGTGAGCATCAGGACTTGAGGATTTTACAGAAAAGCCCCAGCCAGACTCAAAAAAAAGTATGCTGACTGATGTGTCCCCTTGTACAACTCTTCCAGAAAGATGGAAAGAGAGCATCCCCCTATTCATTGCACAAAACTGCTATAACCTTAATACCATTGCCACCTGGAAATCTCCCTTGTTTCTTATGAATTAAAAAAAAACATAGAAGGCATAGGTTTATATCTATCCAGGGTGGGGCGCCCCTCAGCATTGGTTATCACTATTTTACTAATAGAAACGGAGGCACAGAGAAGTAACTTTTTGTAGGTCACATAGCTAACAGTCACAAAGTTAGGATATGAAGCCAAGCATTCTGGTTCTAGAAATTTATGTTCATATTCATTGTTGAACACTCAACATCTAGCAAGGTTCCTGTTTGGCATAAAGTAGATTCTCAGTAAGTGATAGGTTAAATTGCTGATATGACATTCATATTTGGGTCAGCCAGTCTACCTTAATCATCAGTAGTGAGATATCTTGAATATACAGATCTATAAAAATTTTAAAAGGCTCTCTTGTTTTCCTAGTATTATATACTAAATTTATATTACATATAAAATTACTGACTTTGTACATTTATATTCTAAAAGATTGTCTCTTTTGTTAATGAAATTAAAATTTGTTATTATATAATAATGAAAATGCTTTAGAAATATAACAATGAGGCTGGACATGGTGGCTCATGCCTGTAATTCCAGCACTTGGAAGGCCGAGGTGGGGGGATCACTTGAGGTCAGGAGTTCAGGACCAGCCTGGCCAACAGGGTGAAACCCCATCTCTACTAAAAATACAAAAATTAGACAGGCATGGTGGCACGCACCTGTAATCCCAGTTAGTCAGGAGGTGAGGCATGAGTTCACACTTGAACCCGGGAAGTAGAGGTTGCAGTGAGCCAAGACTGCGCCACTGCACTGCACCCTGGGCAACAGAGTGAGACCCTGTCTCAAAAAAAAAAAAAGAAAAAAAGAAAGAAAGAAAAGAAAAGAAATATAACAATTTATTAATGTATTTATCATTCATTTTCAATGTAAAAGCATTCACAATATTTGTTTTCCCTGTGTCATATGTACTGAGAAAAAATTCTGAAAAGAATTTGAAATATTTTGATTTTGTCAAGATTATCTTTAAGCCAAATGTAGTTGCTTAGAATTGCCAAAAAGCACTATAAATACAGCCTTAAAACCTATTTTTAAAATGATGTTGATTATCTACTGACCAAATAATCCTTCAAATTAAATGTTTTCCTCATTCAAAGAAGAGTAGTGTTGGCTACCCTTAATACTATTTTGAGTTCTCTTTTAAGCTACTAATTCCAAGAACACTAGAGAACCTCTAATTCTCTTCTTTGCTTGCGCCTCCAGAAACATTGAGACTACCTAGAGTTGAAACCATTAGGACAGGTCTTCACTATAGATACGACCATAGTGACCAAACCTGGCATTTCACCCCCATCTACAGAGTAACACTAGGGTCAGGATCTTGAACCACTTTTACAGTGCCAGCATTGTGCATTTCTGGAATTTCATAGTTCCATAACGTCTTACTCACATTTCCCACTTTAGGGCAGCTAGTCTTAAAGGGATGAGACAGGCAAAAGACACAGATATTTACCCTATTAGAGAGGAAATAAAAAGCTAAGAAATACCAAAAACATTTCAATTTTACTAGTAATCAAATTGAAAGAATGAGATACCATTTTGCGAATAATTTGCAAAGATTTTAAATAATAACAATGTTTGTAAGGAGGTAGAATGTGGAGTTAGAATGGAGGATCTGGGACCTCATTGCCTTTGTTTGAATTCTGAACACAACATCTATCAGCTATTACTTAAAATCTTTACGTCTTTAAATCTTGTACCTTGGTTTTCTCATCTTTCAAATGGTGCTATTAATAGTGTCTAGCTCCTAAGTTTGTTGTGAAGATTGAACAAATCAGCATTTTTAAGCACATTTATAACATTAAGTGACATATTAAGAGCTCAATGAATGTTAGCTATTGGTATAAGTAGAGATGCCTGTAAGTTGGCACTTGCTTTCTAAAAGGCAACTTGCTCCACATCTATCAAGAATATAAGAAGTGTTTAAATTTTTTTTATCTAGTAATTCCTCTTCTAGGGAAGCTAACTAAACAAAATAACTAATTCAAAGATTTATGTACAATGATGTTTATGAAAACAAGAGTTTTGATAAATTGGAAACAACTTGAATCTCTAACATTTGGAACCAAATTATTAAAATTATGTCATTAATAAACGTGTTATTTTAAATGCAACAGTTAAAATAATGAGGATAGAATGGAATGTCTATTACTGGCTAAGATAAAATAATGAGGTAGTTTACCATTATACTTTAAATAGCTAGAAAACTAAATATATGAAAAAAATATTTTTCAGATATTGGATAATGGGCAGATCGGGATTGTGATTGCCGAGAAGATGGAAATAAATTGGGTGAACCCTACAGTTGCTCCAGTTTGCTGCCTATGAGCAAGTTCCAGACCACAGTACACTGAAGAGGAGTGTAAAACAACCTAAGAGTTTTGCTGAATTAAAGAGAAAGAATGTTAGTGTTTCTAGACGGCAAGATGGCTAAGATGTGTGGTCCCGAGTACCAGAAAACAGCAGCTACACATACAAAGCCCTTAAGATCTGCAGCAGGATCTAGTAAAGTCTTTGGCTTAAGATTGATCTGTCCATGTGTAAGAGAATGCTTCCTAAGCCCAGAGAAATAACCACTGGAAAGGAACAGGCATCACAATTTCTGAAGCTCATACAGGACTGAACAATTTTTGGCCCTTAATAAGCCAGAATGGAAAGCCATCAAAATCCATGGGGCATGGGTAGAGTCATCAAAATATATTGCCTTAGTGGAGAGAATAAATTATTACTAGATTGAAGACATCATTGTACATTTCTTAACAAAGCTTAAAGGCTTCAAAAGGATTTAACTAAATCCAAGCAACTGAACTGCAAACCATAACAAAAATCCAACAATGTATAAAGTAACGTAACAAACTTGAACATAATGTAAGAGTCTGGTATCAAAAATCATTAGGCATTCAAAAAAAAGCGGGAAAGGCTGGGCACAGTGGCTCATGCCTGAAATCCCAGCACTTTGGGAGGCCGAGGTAGGTGGATCACTTAAGGTCAAGAGTTCAAGACCAGCCTGGCCAATATGGCAAAACCCCGTCTCTACTAAAAATATAAAATTTAGCTAAGTGTGGTGGCACATGCTTGTAATCCCAGCTACTTGGGAGGCTGAGGCAGGAGAATCATTTGAACTCCAGCCTGGGCGACGGAGGGAGATTCTGTCTCGGAAAAAAAAAAAAAAAGAAAAAAGAAAAGAAAATAAAAAGCAGGAAAATAAGATCTATGATTAGGATAAATATCAATTAATAGAAACAGATAAATGAAAAACAGTGGGTAATGAAATTAAAACAGCTATTATAAATATGCTTCATATGTTTAAGAATATAGAGTAAAACCATGAGCATAGGACAAATGTAAAATGTAAAAAAGGCTTAAATATAACTTCTAGTGATGAGAAATGCAATATGTGAAATGAAAAGAAAATATACAAGATAGGATTAGCAGTAGATTAGACAATGTAGAAGAGATGATCAGTGACTTGATGATATGGTAATGAAAACTATACAAAATAAAACACCAAGACAAATAAAAGAAAATGAACAGAGATGTAGTGAGCTTGTAGGGCAACATCAAGTGTCTATAAGATACTCAGGAGGCTGAGGCAGGAGAATCGCTTGAACCCAGGAGGTGGAGGTTGCAGTGAGCAGAGATCGCGCCACTGCACTCCAGCCTGGTGACAGAGCAAGACTCCATCTAACAAAAAAACAGAAAACAAAAACAAAAACAAAACAAAACAAAACAAAAATAAAACTGGATTCCCAGAAAAGAAAATTTAAAAGTTTGGGGAGCAGATGTCAGCAAAAGTATTTGAAGAAATAATGGCAAAAAAATTCAAAATTTGGATTAAAAAAACATAAATACACAAAGGTAAGACTATCAATGAATATCAAGCAGAAGATTTCTAAAGAAAATCATACAAACACACATCATAATCAAATTGCTGGAAAAAAAAATCACTGATAACAAGAATCTTAAAAGAATCCAGAAAGGACAAAGATAAAATATCAGACTATGTATCAGAAATTACACAAATAAGAAAAGAGTAGAGAGATATACTTAAAGTACATTGAGAAATAGAGAAAAGATCAGTGTTGGTGAGGATGTAGAGATATTAGAACAGTTGAACACTGTTGGGAAGAATACCAACAGTATAGCCACTATACAAAACAGTATAGAGGTATCTCTAGAGATTGAAATAATTGAGAAGCATCAAACAGGAATTCTGGAGCTGAAAAATTCAATTGACAAACTGAAGAAAGAATCAGAGTCTCTCAAGAGCAGAGCTGATCAAGCAGAAGAATTAGTGAGCTTGAAGACAGAGTACTTGAAAATGCATAGAGTAGTTGAAAAAATAAAAAATAATGAATCATGCCTATAAGACTTAGAAAATAGCTTCAAAAGGGCAAATCTAAGTTATTGGCCTTAATGAGGAGATAGAGAGGGAGAGATCAGGGTAGAAACTTTACTTAAAAAGATAAGAGAGCTTTCCAAACCTAGGGAAAGATATCAATATTCAAGTACAAGAAAGTTATAGAACACCAAGAAGATTTAACACAAAGAAGACTACCTCAAGGCATTTAATAATTAAACTCCCAAAGGTCAGAGATAAAGAAAGAATCCTAAAAGCAACAAGATAAAAGAAGCAAATAACATATAATGGAACACCAGTAAGTCTGACAGAAGACTTTTCAGTGGAAAACTTATAGGCCAGGAGAGAATGGCATGACATATTTAAAGTCCTGAAGGAAAAAGCCTTTTACCCTAGGATAGTATATCCAGTGAAAATTTCCTTTGAACATGAAGGAGAAATGAAGACTTTCACAGACAAACAAAAGCTGAGGAATTCTGTCAACACCAGACCTATCCTATAAGAAATGCTAAGCAGGGTTCTTCAGTCTGAAAGAAAGGACATGAATAAGCAATAAGAAATCATTTGATAGGGCCCAGTGCAGTGGCTAATGCCTGTAATCCTAGCACTTTGGGAGGCCAAGGTGGGTGGGTCACAAGGTCAGGAGATCGAGACCATCCTGGACAACATGATGAAACCCCGTTTCTACTAAAAATACAAAAATTAGCTGGGCATGGTGGTGGGCACCTGTAATCCCAGCTACTCGGGAGGGTGAGGCAGGAGAATCACTTGAACCTGGTAAACAGAGGTTGCAGCAAGCCGAAATTGCACCACTGCACTCCAGCCTGGCAACAGAGTGAGACTTTCTCTCCCCCTGCCAAAAAAAAAAAAAAAAAATCATTTGATGACATAAAACTCAGTGGTAACAGTAAGTACAAAAATAGATAATATAATACTGTAATTATGGTGTGTATACCATTCGTATCTTGAGTAGCAAGACTAAAAGATTAACCTAAAAAATGGGGGAATGAAGTTAAACTGTAGAGTTTTTGTTGGTTCTCTTTGCCTATTTTTGCAATCAGAGTACAGTTGTCATTAAAGATAATGAGTTGTAAGATGTTATTTTCAAATTTCATGGTAATCTCAAAAAAAGCCTACAACAAATACACAAAAATATAAAGAAAGAAATTAAAACATACCACAGAAAATCACTTTCACAAAGAAGAAAGGAAGGAAGAAAGGAAGAAAGGAAGGAAGAAAGGAAGAAAGGAAGGAAGAAAGGAAGAAAGGGAGGGCAACAGAGGCAGGGAGGGGAGGGCAATGGAGGCAGGGAGGGGAGGGCAATGGAGGCAGGGAGGGGAGGGCAACGGAGGCAGGGAGGGGAGGGCAACAGAGGCAGGGAGGGGAGGGCAATGGAGGCAGAGGGGGAAGGCAACGGAGGCAGGGAGGGGAGGGCAACGGAGGCAGGGAGGGAGGGAAGACCAAAAAACAACCAGAAAACAAATGAGAATATAGAAGAAATAAGTCTTTATTTATCAATAACATTAAATGTAAATGGACTAAATTTTTCAATCTAAAGGCATAGAGTGGCTGAATGGATTAAGAAAACAAGACCCAGTAACCTGTTGCCTACAGGAAATACTCTTCACCTATGAAGATACACACAGACTGAAAATTAAGAAATGGAAAAAGATATTACATGGAAATGAAACCCAAGAAACAGCAAGAGTAGCCATACTTATCAGATAAAATAGGTTCTAGTACAAAAACTATAAAAAGAGACAAAGAAATTGTTATATAATGAAAAAAGGATCAATTTAGCAAGAGGATATAGCAATTATAAATATATATGCACCCAACACTAGAGCACCCAGATATATAAAGCTAATATTATTAGAACTACAGAGAGAGATAGACTCCAATATAATAGTTGGCAATTTTAACAACCCACTTTCAACATTGAACAAATTATCCAGACAGAAGTATTAACATGGAAACATCTGACCTAATCTACACTACAGATGAAATAGACCTAATAGATATTTACAGAACATTTCATCAAATGGTTGCAGAAAACACGTTGTTCTCAGCACATGGGTCATTCTAAGAATAGACCAGATGTTAGGTTATAAAATATGACTTTAAAAATTCAAGAGATTTTTAGCCATATCAAGTATATGGCTGGCCATGATAGAAAAAAACTAAAAATTAATAAAAAGAACTTTGGAAACTATAAAGACACATAGAAATTAAACAATATGATCCTGAATGACCAGTGGGTCAATGATGAAATTTAAAAAGAAATTTAAAAATTCCTTGAAACAAATAAAAATGGAAACACAACATACCAAAGCCTAAGGGACACAGAAAAAGCAGTGTTAAGTGGAAAGTTTGTAGCAACAGGTACCTACGTGTACATGAAACATAGAAAATTTTCAAATAAACCACCTAAAAATGCATCTTTAAGAACTAGGAAAGCAAGAGAAACAAACCCAAAATTAGTACAAGAAAAGAAATAAAGATCAGAGCAGAAAGAAATGAAATTGAAATGAAAAAACATACAAAAGAACAAAATGTAAAGCTTTTTTTTAAAAAAAAAAAAGATAAACAAAAGTGACAATTCTTTATCCAGACTAAGAAAAAATGAAAGAATCCCATAATAAAATCAGATTACAAGAGACATTACAATTGATGCTGCACGAATTCAAAGGGACATTAGAGACTAATACAAGCAACTATATGCCAATAAATTGGAAAGTTTACAAGAAATTTATAAATTCCTAGATACCTACAACCTACCAAAATTGAACCATGAAGAAGTCCAAAACGTGAATAGCCCAGTAACAAGATCAAATCTGCAATAAAAAGTCTTCTACTAAAGTCAGTGACCCAATGGCTTCACTACTAAACTCTACTAAACATTTAAAGAAGAATTAATACCAGTCCTATTTAAACTATTCCCAAACATAGAGGAAGGAATACTTCGAAACTCATTCTACAAACCCGGTTTTACCCTGATACCAATATAAGACAAAGACATGTCAAAAAAAAAAATAAAACTACAGGCCAATATCCTTGATATACATTGATGCAAAAACCCTCAACAAAATACTAGCAAACCATATTTAACAATATGTTAAAAAGATCATTTATCACGACAAGTGGGATTTATCCCTGGATACAAGAATGGTTCAACATATGCAAAATCAATGTGATATATCATATCAACACAATGAAAGATAAAATCCATATTATCATTTCATTTGACACTGAAAAAGCATTTGATAAAATTCAACATTCTTTCATCATGAAGAACCCTCAAAAACCGAAATAGAATGAACACACCTAAACACAATAAAGTCCATATATGATAGACCCATGGCTAGTATACTAAATGGGGAAAGCTGAAAGCCTTTCTTCTAGCATCTGGAACAGACAAAAATGCCCATTTTGATCACAGTTATAAAACATAGTATTGGAAATCTAAGCTAGAGAAATCAGACAAGAGAAAGAAATAAAAGGCATCCAAATTGGAAAGGAAGAAGTTAAATTATCATTGTTTGTACGTTATAGAATCTTGTATTTGGAAAAAACTAAAGATTCCTCCAAAAAATTTTTAGAATGTTTTCAAAAATTCAGTAAAGTTAAAGGATAAAAAATTAACATACAAAAATTAGTAGCATTTTTATATGCCAACAGTGAACAGTGTGAAAAAGAAATCAACAAAGTAATCTTACAGTAGCTACAAATAAAATAAAACACCTAGGAATAAACTTAACCACAGAACTGAAAATCTCTACAATGAAAACTAAAACATTGATGCAAGAAATTGAAGAGAACACAAAAAATTGAAAGATATTCCATGTCCTTGGATGGAAGAATCAATATTGTAAACATGTTCATACCACCCAAAGCAATTTACAGATTCAATGCAATTCCTTTCAAAATCCCAGTGATATTCTTCACAGAAATAGAAAAGGCAATACTAAAATTTATATGGAACCACAAAAGACCAAGAATATCCAAAGCCATCCTGAGAAAAGAGAACAAAACTGGAGGAATCATAATACCTTCAAATTATACTACAGAGCTGTAGTAACCAAAAAAGCATGGTATTGGCATTAAAACAGACACATAGACCAATGGAACAGAATAGAGAATCCAGAAATAAATCTGTAGATCTACAGTGAACTCATTTTCGACAAAGATGCCAGAACATACATTGAGGAAAGGACAGTCTCTTCAACAAAGGGTGCTCTCAAAACTAGATATCCATATACAGAAGAAAGAAACTAGATCCCTGTCTCTCATCACATACAAAAATCAAATTAAAATGGATTAGAGACTTAAATCGAATACCTCAAATTATAAAACTACTAAAGAAGAACATTGTGGAAATTCTCCAGGACATTGGTCTGGGTAAAGATTTTTTAATACTACCCTAAAAGCACAGGTAGCCAAAGCAAAAAGGACAAATGGAATCACATCAAGTTAAAAAGCTTCTGAACAGCAAAGAAAAAAAAAGTGAAGAGACAATCCATAGAACAGGAAAAAATATTTACAAACTATCCATCTGACAAAGGACTAATAACCAGAATATATAAAAAGAGTTTAAATAACTCTATAGGAAAAACCTAATAACTTGACTTTTAAAATGGGCAAAACATCTGAATAGACATTTTTTTCTAAAGACAAACAAGCATATGAGAAGATACTCAACATCATTGATCAGAGAAATGCCAATCAAAACTACAATGAGCTATCATCTTACCCCAGTTAAAACAGCTTTTATTCAAAGACTGGCAATAACAAATGCTGGTGAGGGATGTGGAGAAAAGGGAATTTTGATACACTGTTCATGGGAATGCAAATTATTATAGCCACTATGGAAAACACCATAGAAGTTCCTCAAAAAAAATTGAGAATAGAACTACCATATGATTCAGGAATCCCACTGCTGGGTGTATACCCAAAAGAAAGGAAATCTGTACATGGAAGAGATATCTGCACTTCCATGTTTATTGCAGCACTATTCATAATAGCCAAGATTTGAAAACAACTTAGTGTCCATCAGTAGATGAATGGATAAAGAAAGTGTGGTATATATACACAATGGAGTACCATTCAGCCATAAAAAAAGAATGAGATCCTGTCATTTGCAACAACATGGTTGGAACTGGAAGCCATTACTTTGAGTGAAATAAGCCAATCACAGAAAGACAAACTGACATGTTCTCACTCAATGGTGGAAGCTAAACCTTCAAACAATTGTACTCATGGAGATAAAGAGTAGAATGATGGTTACCAGGGGTTTGGAAGGGTAGTGAAGAAAGGTTAACATGTATAAAAATATATTTAGATATAATGAATAAGATCTAGTATTTGATAGCACAACAGGGTGACTGCAGCCAGAAGTAGTTTGCTGTACATTTTAGAATAACCGAGAAAGTACAATTGGAATGTTTGTAACACAAAGAAATTATGAACACTTGAGGTGACAGATATCCCATTTACCCTGATGTGATTAGTACATATTGTATGCCTGTATCAAAATATCTCATGTAGCCCATAAATATTTACATCTACCATGTACCCATAAAAATTAAAAATTTTCTTAAAGAGACAAGTGTGATATCAACCACATGTAATGTCTCTGTGTTGTTTGAATACTGATTTGAACAGGTTTATCATAAGAAAGATTAAGACAATCAGTCATAGGAATGCTGATGGAATATTTTAATGAAGAATTATTTTTAATTCTTTTTTGTGTGAGAATATGGTGGTGTGCTTATATTTAAGAAAATAAATAGTCCCTATGCTTTAGAGATACTTGTGTATGTATTTAGCAGAGAATATGTGTATTTTGGGATGTGGGGTGTAGACTGAGTGGGAATATCAATGAAACAAGATTGACCATGAGTTGGCAATTGTTGAAGGTGGGTGATGGATATGAGGACATTCATTATAGTATTCTTTAATCTATGCTTGAAATTTTCATAACAAAAACTTTAAACATATTAAAATAGTTGAATTTATAAAATCAAAGAGTGAAATGAGATAATGGAATTTAATATTTAATGGGCATAAAATTTCAGTCAAGCAAGATTAAAAAGTTCTAGAGATCTGCTGTATAATATTGACTATAATCAATAATATTGATTATAAGTGTATTTATTATACACTTAGACATCTATTAAGAGGGTAGATCTCATGTTAACTGTTCTCACCACAATAAAATTTCATGTGTTTGTGTGTGTGTGTATATATATACGTGTGTATGTATATATATATGTGTATATATATATGTATATAAAATACTGTACCTAGAAAAATGTGTTTTAAAATTGAAGGCAAAATGAATACTTTTAAAGACAAACAAAAGAAAATAAAATTTATGGCAAAGAGCCCTACACTACATAAAATATTTAAGGAAGATTTTTTTCCCCACCAAAGAGAATGTGATAGCAGGTGAAAAGTTGCATCAGCATGAAGAAATGAACAGTGCCAGAAATGGCATCAATGTGGGTAAATATTTAAAAAGAAAACATTTACTTTATTTTATATTCTCTTTAAAGGATAATTGACATGTCACAAATTTGTACAATATGCCACATATCACAAGCCCACAGTTAATATCATACTCAATGACAAAAACTTACAAGCTTTTTCTCCAAGGTAAGGAACATGACAGGGATACTCATTCACCACGTCTAGGAAGTCCTAGCCAGAGCAATTTGGCAAGAAATAAAAGGCATCCAAATTGGAAAGGAAAAAGTAAAATTGTTTGCAGATTACATGAAAAAAAATATATCTGTAGAAACTCTACCAGAAAATTTTTACAACAACAAATTCTAGAAAATTTCAGCATACAAAATCAACATAAAAAATCAATAGTGTTTCTATACATTAACAACTAATTATCCAAAAAATAAATTCAGAAAATAATCACATCTACAATAGCATCAAAAACAATAAAATTCTTAGGAATAAACCTACCCAAGAAGGTGAAAGATCTATGTAATGAAAACCATAAAATGTTAATGAAAGAAATTGAATGGGACACAAGTAAATGGAAAGATAGCACATGTTCATGGGTCAGAAGAATCATTGTCAATCTCGCCATAACATGCAAAGCAACCAATAACTTCAGTGCAATCTCTATAAAATTCCAATGGCAATTTTACAGAAATAGAAAAACCGATTCTAAAATTTCTGCAGAACCAGCAAAGGCCACAAATATCTAAAGCAATCTTGAGCAAGGAGACCATAACTGGAGGCATCCCACTTTCTGATTTCAATTTATATTAAAAAGCTATAGTAATCAGTATAATATAAAGCTATCGAATGGTACTGGCATAAAAATAGATGCATAGATCAATGGAGCAGAATAGTAAACACAGAAATAAACCCATGCATATATGAAAAACTAATCTCTAATCACAGCACCAAGAATGCACAGTAAGGAAAAGATAATCTCTTCAACAGATGGTATTAAGAAAACTGAATGTCCAGAAAAAAAGAAGTAAATTGATTCTTATCTTACACCATTTCCCCCATATCAACTGAAAATGTGTTAAAAACTTAAACTTAAGACTCAAAACTGTAAAACTACTAGAAGAAAACAGAGAGCAAACTCTATGGCATTGGTCTTGGCAAAAAAAACTTTTGATATGACAAAAGCACAAGCAACCAAAGCAAGAACTAAACAGGTGGAACTACAGCAAACTAAAAGTTTCTGCACAGTAAAGGGAACAATCCACAAAATGGAAAGGTACCATACAGATTTGGAGAAAAAAAATCTATAAACTATATCTGATAAAAGGTTAATATTAAAAATATGTAAGGAACTCACACAACTCAATAGTCTTAAAAATCGGATTAAAAATGAGCAAAGGACCTGAACAGACATTTTTTCTAAGGAATACTCGCAAATTAAAGATAGAATTACCATATCATCCAGCAAGCCCACTTCTGGGTATATATATTACATTATTCACATTGAATATATACAATTTTCATTTCTCAATTCTACCTCAATAGAGCTGAAAAAGATAATTGGCAGTTTAAAGCAAGACTAATTACAGTATTGTACGGGACTTACAGCATATGTAGAAGCAAAACGTGGCAACAATAGGATAAAGGATTTCAGGTAGGAAATTGAAGTATATTGTTGTAAGGTACTTAAACTTGATGTGATTTGCCATTACTTAAAGGAGATTGTGATAAAATAAAAACATATGTCATAGACCTTGGAAGAGTTTCTTAATGTGTGATTTAAGATCAAAAGCCAATAGTATAGATAAATTAGAATCAAAAAATACTCAATTTATTCAAAATGTGAAACAAAAACGGACTAAAGAGCAATAGAATAGAAATGAATTGGAAAAATGGTAGATTTCAAGCCAACCATGTTGATAATTACATTAAATGTAAATGATATAGTCTCTTCAATTGTCACTGGATAAAAGATGACACAATTATATGCTGTCTTTGAGAGATCATCTTAAACATAAGGATATGGATTGAAATTAAAAGAACGTATAAAAGCCTTATCATACAAACAGTAATTTTTAAAAAGTCAGAGTGGCTATATTAATCCAGACAAAATAGATTACAGCATGAAGAATGTTTCCAGTGACTAATGGGATAAAGATGACTTAATTATCTTAAATGTGCTTGTACATAACAAGACAGTTACAAAATATGTAATACAAAAAAGATAGAAAGGAAAGGAGAAAGAAACAAGTCTAACATTATAGTTGGAGATTAACATTTGTCTCTCATTAATTGATAGAAAAGGCAGGCAGAAAATCAGTAGAGTTGTAGACAACATAAATAGCACAATCAACCAAATTATTGTAATAGACATTTAAAAGAACACTCAACCCTAAAACAGCAAAATATACATTATTTTCAAGTACACATAAAACATTCACCAATATAGACAATATTGTGGGTCTTGAACTATTTTTTACCAATTTTGAGAGAACTGAATTCATTAAAAGAAAATGTCATTTGACCAGAATATTAAAGTAGAAAGCAATAGAATATAGAAAACCTGCAAAGATTTAGAAATTAAATCATATTATTCTAAAAAAATATATGGAGCGAAGAAAAAATAAAAATGGAAAATATTTTAACTGAATGATAATAAAAGAACAACATATCAAATTTGTGATAGGTCGTGATAGGAGGGAAATCCACAGCATTAAATGCTTATGTAGAAAGAAGAAAAGTTTCAAATCAGTAATCTAAGATCCAACTCTGAGAAACTAAAGAGCAGCAAATTAAACCCAGAATAAGACTGAGGGAACAAATACAAATAAAAGATATCAGTGAACAACAACAACAACAACAACAAACAGGAAAACAGTTGAGAAAAACCAATATAAATAAAAGCTGGTTCCAGAAGGTTAATAAAATTGATCTAGCCACACCGATAAGGAAAAATATCAGAATGAACGAGGGGACACTGCTCCTGATACTACAGATAAAAAGAGACTATTCTGAAGAATTTCATGACAATAAATTTAACATTATAAACAGAATGGACAAATTCATTAAAAAGTATAAACACCAAAGCTCACTAAAAAGAAATAGTTAATCTGAATAGTTTCATATGTATTTTTAAAGATTAAATTAGTAATTTATAAATTTCTCAAAAAGGAAACATCAGGTCCAGATGAGATCACTGCTAAATTCTTCCAAACATTTTTGAGAGAAAGTAGATCAATTCTGAAGAGTTGTCCAGAAAATAAAAGATGAGGGAGCACTTCTTAACTCATTATTTCAGACCAGCATCTCCCTGGTACCAAACCAGACAAAGACATGAGAAAATTAGACTAGTATTACTAAAGAACTAAGTATAAAATGTCCCTATGAAAATATAAACTATTTTTAAAGGTTTGCGTATCATAACAAGTGGGAAACCAAGATTGGTTTAATATTTGAAACTCCAGTGTTATTAACCATATTCAGAAACTGAAAAAGAAAAGCTGAATGATCATATCAATATATCCAGAAATAGCATATGATAAAATTCAATACTCATTCATCACAAACTTTCAGCCTCCTAGGAATAGAACTTTTCTACTTTGATAAAGGGCAACAACATAAACCTATAGCTAATAGCATACTCAATAGTGTAAGAATTGTTCCTTCCAAAATCAGCACAAGGTGAGGATTTCTAAATACATCACCTCTATGCAAAAGTGTGTTGAAACTCCTGGCAATGATAATAAGCCAAGAAAAAAATAAAATAAACAGTAGAAAGGAAGAAGTTAAACCGGCTTTAATCAATAAGATATAGTTTTCACATAGAAATTACTAAAGTATCTACAAAAAAAGCATTAGTTCCAATCAGTGAATTTATCAAGTTTGCAAGATGCAAATTTAATAAATAAATCGGTTGTATTTATACCTATTAGCAAAATAATGGGACTTAAAATTTTTAAACATAACAGATTATCAGAACTATATAATATTTAAGGTTAAAGATAACAAAATATGTGAAAAACGATTACACAGAATATTGTAAACTATTCCTTAGTGAAATTAGAGAAGGCCTAAAAAACGCAAGGATATACCACGGTGAATTCCATGGTATTCCACGGTATATTCTATTTCATGATGAATTGGAAGGCTCTATAGGGGAGGCAAAATTTTACTTCCTCCCTTTTAGGACTTCTCAGATGGGCCTGAGGATTAAATTGAGATAAGACAGATCAACAGGAGAAAATTATACAAATCTGTTTAATACAAGTTTTACATGGCATGGGAGCCCTCATAAAGAAATGAAGACTCAAAGACACAGTTAGACATGAACACTTACATACTGAGTTAGAGTAGTAAATTATGAAAATGTGACAAGGCAAAGGGGTTTGGGCTAAGGTAGTTAACTGTGTAGAGAAGGGGCTAGGAAGATAAAGATTAGTCTAACAATGTTTGTTTGTACAAATTTTCCTCATCCTTAATTTCCTGTCCTTGCTGATGAAAATGATGCTTTCCTCCTGATATAGGAAGGAAATCTTTTACATAGGAATTCCACCTCCTGCTTTCAAGACACACAAAAAAGGTATGAGTGATCTTCTTCCCCCTGCTATTTTTCTTTAACTAGATTGTCTTTAACTAGAAATAGTCAACTTGCCAAAGAAGCATATTTTTAACCCCTTCAGCTCTATAGCGTTAAGATGCCAATTTTCCCCAAATTGATATAGATTCAACAAAATGCCACTGAAAATCCCAGAAAGATTTTGTAAATAAATTGTTAAGCTGATTCTAAAACTTATATGAAATTGTAAGAACCTAGAATAGGCAAAACAACTTTTAAGGAGAAGAAAAAAGTTGGAAGGACCCACATTATGAGTTCAAGAATGACCACAAAGCTACAGAAATCAAGACAATGTTGTATTGAGACTCACACGTTGTCAACTGATGTTCAACAAAGGTCACGAAACAAATCAGTGGAAAAAGGATAGTGTTTTCAATAGGTGATGCTAGAATATCTATATGTAAGAAGAGAAAACCCAGGCCAGGTGCAGTGGCTCACACCTGTAATCCCAGCACTTTGGGAGGCCGAGGTGGGTGGATCACCTGAGGTCAGGAGTTCAAGAACAGCCTGACCAACATGGAGAAACCCCATCTCTACTAAAAGTACAAAATTAGCCAGGCATGGTGGCACATGCCTATGATCCCAGCTACTCCGGAGGCTGAGGCAGGAGAATTGCTTGAACCTGGGAGGTGGAGGTTGTGGTAAGGTGATATCATGCCATTTTGCACTCTAGCCTGGGCAACAAGAGTGAAACTCCATCTCAAAAAAAAAAAAAAAGAGAGAGAGCGCCCATACTTAACTCATACTATAATGAAAAATTATTCTTAGTCCTAAATGTATGAACTAAATGTATAAAACTTCCAGAAGAAAACAGAAAAAAAAAATTGTATCCTAATATAAGGAAAGATTTCTTAGACAGGACACAAGAAGAACCATTTAAGATAAATTAAATATCAAAATTGAAAACTTTTGCTCTTCAAAAGGTACAATTATGGAAATGAACAGTCAAACCACAGACTTGGAAAAAACACACTACATTTAAGGATACAAGTCCTTTATTATATATTGCATATGTATATTTTATATATAAAATAAAGAACTTGTATCCTGAACATGTGAAGAATTTTTATAATTCGTAAAAGTCTAACAAACAGCAAAAAATTTGAATAGACACTTTCTTAAATAATGTATATTAATGAAATGTAAACACAGTGTTATGGGCTAAATTGTGTCTCCTCACCACCACCACCCCCAACCACCCCCAAGTTTATATGTTGAAGTTTTTTGGTTTGGTGTTTTCTGTTTTTTTTTTTTTTGAGATGGAGTCTCACTTTGTCGCCCAGGCTGGAGTGCAGGGGTGCAATCTCAGCTCACTGCAACCGCCACCTCCCAGGTTCAAGCAATTCTTTTGCCTCAGCCTCCTGAGTAGCTGGGATTACAGGCGTGTGCCACCACACCTGGCTAATTTTTTGTATTTTTAGTAGAGATGGGGTTTCTCCATGTTGGCTAGGCTGGTCTTGAACTCCTGACCTCGTGATCTGCCCACCTCGGCCTCTCAAAGTGCTGAGATTACAGGCATGAGCCACCATGCCTGGCCTATATGTTGAAGTTTTAACCCACCCCATACCTCAGAATGTGACTGTATTTGGAGATAGGGTCTTTCTTTATAGAAATAATTAAGTTAAAATGAGGTTATTCAGGTGGACCATTTAATCCACTGTGACATTATAATGTCTTTGTAAGAAGAACAGATTAGGACACAGCTGCACACAGAGAGAAGACCTTGTGAAGATACAGAGAAAGGTTAGCTATCTGCAAGCCAAGGAGAGAAACCTTGGGGTGGGAGAGGGAGAAACAAGGGAAAACAAAAAAACAAGTCTAAAATTATAGTACAGTCTTGGCTTCTACGTCTTCTTGGTATCTTCATTCTATCTTTGCTGTCTGTTCTTTACATCTCAAGATCAATCTCTTAAGAGCAGGAATTAGAGAAGCCCAGCTAATTATCATTTGTTGTGATTCTAAAATTACATCCTAAAATTTATTGACACTTGTCTTTGATAAGTGGAAACTAATTCAACTCCCCTTGAATGTGGGCTGTAATTAGTAACTTGCTTCTAACAAATCAAATATGGCAGATGTGATGATCTGTGCTTCTAAGACTGAGTCTTACAAGGCATCACAGCTTTCTCCTTGTTACCTTGCTCTTGGATCATCTGCCTAAAGAGCAATCCGTCATCGTGTCATGATAATACTCAAGCAGCCCTATGGAAAGGTCCATATGGAAGGGAACTAAGCTTCCTTCCAGTAGCCAGTGAGGAACAGTTTTCCTGTCATTGACCATGTGAGTGAACCATGATGATATAATGCCCAGGTCCAGTTAAGCCTCAAATGACTTAAGCAGCTCCAGCTAACATCTTGACTGCAGCCCCAAGCCAGTTAAGCTGCCCCTGAATTCTCAAACCCCCAAAAGTATATGCTAATAAATATGTATTTTTTTTAGATGGTAAATGTTAGGGTAATTTGTTACGTAGAAATACTGCCCCCATTGCGGGGGAGTTTTATCCTAAGCTTCCTCAGAAATTGACTATCTTATGGAACCCAGGCATACAAAACTACCCGAGTGTTCTCTGGGTTTGGAAATTTACTTCAGCGTGGAATTATAGAAAGGAGGAATTTCTTTATTGGCCTATGCGGTAAGAAAAAAAAAATCTCAGTAAAAGAAGGCATGACCTCTTCGGCTAATAGTCAACCTACTACTAGTATAAACAATCTGAAATAATTATTTTCCACACAAATAGGACTTCAAATGTAGATAAATTCCTTTAATAAGGAGTTTCACAGAAGCCTAAAGTTACTGAGAGTTGGTTTCAAAGATATGTTTCTTTGGATTTCTACACTTGTCACTGTTCACAGTATAAACCTAAATTACTTAGCTTTTTTGAGTCTTATATATAGTAATTATTCATCAGGTTTTGGTCAAAGAAACTTTTGAGAATCTAGAATCTTTCTCCTAATACGGAATGCCACAGTAGGTTTAAAAACTACCTTTTTTTTTTTTTGAGGAAATTATTTCCTACCTGGAAATTATGCACGGTTAAACTTGAGTAATTCTAGTAGTTAGGGTCCAAGTAACTTATTGTTTTCTGGCATTTTACAATCTTAGGATGTTTAACTATATGGCTTACTATAAACTTACTACTACTGAATATATTAACTACTGCTTTATGAATGATTTCTGTTTCAGTTGTTATTTTTCTGTTTCTGAGGAAGCTGAGAATCCAGACTAATACAGGCATAGAGTTGTGCGTACCTAGAGCAGCTGACTTATACAACCTGCCACAAACCCACCTATTTATTTCATGTAATTTATTGATTACTGGTGTTAAATAATATTAATTCATAACTTCACCTAGGGAGGTTATATTTAAAGGAAACCCTCAAGATTAGTTCACTGCCTGGTTTCTGTACATTCAGCTTTTTGTTTAATGAACCTCTTTTTATTGGAATATCAGAAAAGTAACTCAGGATGAACAGGCACATTGATCACAGATCGGTAGCATCATATTCACAAATAGCCCTGTTTTTGTCATTTATAGAGTAACATATAGGGATCACAGGAGCACACAGACAACCTCTGATTTTATTGTGTTAAATGGGTTGCTTTGTCCTTTTCAACACTTCTAGCTAAGTGTAACTACTAATAGCCACAAAGACACTTTCTGTAGGTTAGCCTCTTTACAGATAAAAGATTGTTCAGAATAGAGGGCATATGAAATCAGTCTGTTAGATACTTAAGTTGGATTAATACCTCTTCTATGAAGAATGTAAAAGAAGGTACTAAAACATTGCATTTGAAGATGGCTGAACAGGAAGAGCTCTGGTCGGCAGCTCACAGTGAGACTGATGCAGAAGACAGGTGATTTCTGCATTTCCAACTGAGGTACCCAGCTTATCTCACTGGGACTGGTTAGAGAGTGGGTGCAGCCCATGGAGGGCAAGCCGAAGCAGGGTGGAGCGTCAGGAAGTACAAGGGGTCAGGGAACTCCCTCCCCTAGCTAAGAAAAGCCCTGAGGGACTGTGCCCTGAGGGATAGAGCTATCTAGCCCAGATCCTATGCATTTCCCATTGTCTTTGCAACCCACAGATCAGGAGATTCCCTTGGGTGCCTATGCAACCAGGGCCCTGGGTTTCAAGCACAAAGCTGGGTGGCCATTTGGGCAGACACTGAGCTAGCTGCAGGAGTTTTTTGTTTTTTTGTTTTTGTTTTTGTTTTTCTTACTCCAGCGGAGCCTGGAACACCAGCAAGACAGAACCATTCATTCTCCTGGAAAGGGGGCTGAAGCCAGGGAGCTGAGTGGTCTAGCTCAGTGGATCCCACCACAATGGAGCCCAGCAAGCTAAGATCCACTGGCTTGAAGTTCTTACTGCCAGGGCAGCAGTCCGAAGTTGACCTAGGATGCTTGAGCTTATTGGGGGAAAGGGTGTCCACCATTACTGAGGCTTGAGTAGGCAATTTTCCCCTTACAGTGTAAACAAAGTCACCCAGAAGTTTGGACTAGGCAGAGCCCACTGCAGCTTGGCAAAGCCACTGTAGCCAGACTGCCTCTCTAGATTCCTTCTCTCTGGGCAGGGTATCTCTGCAAGAAAGGCAGCAGCCCCAGTCAGGGGCTTATAGATAAAACTCCCATCTCTCTGGGACAGAGCACCTGGGGGAAGGCGCGGCTACAGGTGCAGCTTCAACAGACTTAACATTCCTGCCTGCCAGCTCCGAAAAGAGCAGTGGATCTCCCAGCACAGCGCTTGAGCTCTGCTAAGGGACAGACTGCCTCCTCAAGTGGGTCCCTGACCCCCATGCTTCCTGATGGGAAGACACCTCCCAGAAGGGGCTGACAGATACCTCATACAGGAGAGCTCCAGCTGGCATCTGGCAGGTTCCCCTCTGGGGCCAAGCTTCCAGAGGAAGCAGCAGGCAGAAATCTTTGCTTTTCTGCAGCCTCCACTGGTGATACCCAGGCAAACAGGCTCTGGAGTGGACCTCCAGTCAACTCCAGCAGACCTGCAGAAGAGGGGTCCAACTGTTAAAAGGAAAACTAACACAGAGAAAGCAATAGCATCAACATCAACAACAACAACAAAAAATGACCACTCAAAAACCCTATCTGAAGGTCACCAACATCAAAGGCCAAAGGTAGACAAATCCACGAAGATGAGAAAAAACCAGTGCGAAAAGGTTGAAAATTCCAAAAACCAGGATGCGTCTTCTTTCCCAAAGGATCACAACACCTCGCCAGCAATGGAACAGAACTGGACAGAGAATGAGTTTGATAAATTGACAGAAGTAGGCTTCAGAAGGTGGGTAATAACAAACTCCTCCGAGCTAAAGGAGCATGTACTAACCCAATGCATGGAAGCTAAGAACCTTGATATAAGGTTACAGGAACTGCTAATTAGAATAACCAGTTTAGAGAGGAACATAAATGACCTAATGGAGCTGAAAAACACAGCACAAGAACTTCGTGAAGCATACACAAGTATCAATAGCCAAATCGATCAAGCAGAAGAAAGGATGTCAGAGATTGAACATCAAATTAATGAAATAAAATGTGAAGACAAGTTAGAGAAAAAAGACTTAAAAGGAATGAACAAAGCCTCCAAGAAATATGGGAATATGTGAAGAGACCAAGCCTACATTTGATTGGTGTACCGGAAAGGGATGGGGAGAATGGAACCAAGTTGGAAAACACTCTTCAGGATATTATCAAGGAGAACTTCCCCAACCTAGAAAGACAGCCCAACATTCAAATTCAGGAAATACAGAGAACACCACAAAGATATTCCTTGAGAAGAGCAACCCCAAGACATATAATCATCAGATTCACAAATGTTGAAATGAAGGAAAAAATGTTAAGGGCAGCCAGAGAGAAAGGTCGGGTTGCCCACAAAGGGAAGCCCATCAGACTAACAGCAGATCTCTCTGCAGAAACCCTACAAGCCAGAAGAGAGTGGTGGCCCAAAATTCAACATTCTTAAATTCTTTTCTTTAACCCAGAATTTCATATCCAGCCAAACTAAGTTTCATAAGTGAATGATAAATAAAATCCTTTACACACAGGCAAATGCTGAGGGATTTTGTCGCCACCAGGCCTGCCTTACAAGAGCTCCTGAAGGAAGCACTAAATATGGAAAGGAAAAACCAGTACCAGGCACTGCAAAAACATACCAAAATGTAAAGACCATCAACACTACGAAGAAACAGCATCAACTAATAGGCAAAATAACCAGCTAGCATCATAATGACAGGATCAAATACACACAAAACAATATTAACCTTAAATGTAAACTGGCTAAATGCCCCAATTAAAAGACACAGACTGGTAAATTGGATGAAGAGTCAAAACCCACTGGTATGCTGTATTCAGGAGACCCATCTCACACATAGGCTCAAGATAAAGGTATGGAGGAAGTTTTTTTTTTTTTGCTTTTCATTTGCTTATAAAAAAAAAAAAGCAGGGGTTGCAATCCTAGTCTCTGATAAAACAGACTTTAAACCAACAAAAATCAAAAAAGACATAGGGATCAATGCAACAAGAAGAGGTAACTATCCTAAATGTGTATGCACCCAATAAAGGAGCACCCAGATTCATAAAGCAAGTTCTTAGAGACCTACAAAGAGACTTAGAGTCCCAAACAATAATAGTGGGAGACTTTAACACCCCCCTGTCTGTATTAGACAGATCAACGGGACAAAAAATTAACAAGGATATTCAGGACTTGAACTCAGCTCTGGACCAAGCAAGCCTAATAGACATCTACAGAACTCTCCACTCCAAATCAACAGAATATACATTCTTCTCAGCACCACGTTGCACCTATTCTAAAATTCACCATGTAATTGGAAGTAAAACACTCCTCAGTCCTTAGCAAATGCAAAAGAATGGAAATCACAGAAGTCTCTCAGACCACATTGCAATCAAATGGATTAAGAAACTCACTGAAAACCACGCAACTACATGGAACTTGAACAACCTACTCCTGAATGACTACTGGGTAAATAAAGAAATTAAGGCAGAAATAAATTCTTTGGAACCAATGAGAACAAAGACACAATGTACTGGAATATCTGGCACACATTTAAAGCAGTGTGTAGAGGGAAATTTATAGCACTAAATGCCCACAGGAGAAGGTGGGAAAGATCTAAAACTGACAGCCTAACATCACAATTAAAAGAACTAGAGAAGCAACAGCAAACAAATTCAAAAGGTAGCAGAAGAAATAACTAAGATCAGAGCAAAACTGAAGGAGACAGACGTGAAAAACCCTTAAAAAAAAAATCAGTGAATCCAGGAGCTGGTTTTTTTTTTGAAAAGATTAACAAAATAGATAGACTTCTAACTAGACTAACAAAGAAGAAAAGAGAAGAATCAATTAGACACACCAAAAAAATGATAAAGGGGATATAACCACCGATGCCACAGAAATACAAACTACCATCAGAGAATACTATAAACACCTCTACACAAATAAACTAGAAAATCTAGAAGAAATGGATAAATTCCTGGACACATACACCCTCCCAAGACTAAACCAGGAAGAAGGTGAATCCCTAAATAGAACAATAACAAGTTCTGAAATTGAGGCAGTAATTAATAGCCAACTAACCAAAAAAAGCCCAGGACCAGATGGATTCACAGCCAAATTCTACTAGAGGTGCAAAGAGGAGCTGTTACCATTCCTTCTAAAACTATCCCAAGCAATAGAAGTAGAAGGACCCCTCCCTAACTCTTTTTATGAAGCCAGCATTATCCTGATACCAAAACCTGGCAGAGACACAGCAAAAAAAGAGAAAATTTCAGGCCAGTATTCCTGATGAACATCGATGTGAAAATCCTCAATAAAATACTGGCCAACCGAACCCAGTGGCACATTAAAAAGCTTATCCACCACGATTAAGTCGGCTTCATCCCTGGGATGCAAGGCTGGTTCAACATATTCAAATAGATAAACATAATACTTCACATAAACAGAACCAATGACAAAAACCACATGATTATCTCAATAGATGCACAAAAGGCTTTCAATAAAATTCAACACCCCTTCATGCTAAAAACTCTCAATAAACTAGGTATTCATGGAACATACCTCAAAATAATAAGAGCTATTTATGACAAACCCACAGCCAATATCATACTGAATGGGCAAAAGATGGACGCATTCCCTTTAAAAACTGGCAGAAGATAAGAATGCCCTCTCTGACCACTCCTATTCAACATAGTATTGGAAGTTCTGGCCAGGGCAATTAGGCAAGAGAAATAAATAAAGGATATTCAAATAGGAAGAGAGGAAGTCAAATTACCTCTGTTTGCAGATGACATGATAGTGTATTTAGAAAACCCCATCGTCTCAGCCCAAAAACTCCGTAAGTTGATAAGCAACTTCAGCAAAGTCTCAGGATACAAAATCAATGTCCAAAAATCACAAGCATTCCAATACAACAACAATAGACAAAGAGAGCCAAATCATGAGTAAACTCCCATTTACAATTGCTACAAAGAGAATAACATACCTAGGAATACAACTTACAAGGGATGTGAAGGACCTCTTCAAGGAGGATTATGAATCACTGCACAAGGAAATAAGAGAAGACACAAAAAAATGGTAAAACATTCAATGCTCATGGTTAGGAAGAATTAATATCATGAAAATAGCCATACTGCCCAAAGTAATTTATGGATTCAATGCTATTCCCATTAAGCTACCATTGACTCTCTTGGCAGAATTAGAAAAAAACTACTTTAAATTTCATATGGAATCAAAAAGAGCCTATATAGCCAAGACAATACTAAGCAGAAAGAACAAAGCTGGAGGCATCCTGATGCTACCTGACTTCAAACTATATTGCAAGGCAACAGTAACCAAAGCAGCATGATACTGGTACTAAAACATATATAGACCAATGGAACAGAACAGAGGCCTCATAAATAACACCACACGTCTACATCTACCATCTGATCTTTGACAAACCTGACAAAAACAAGCAATGGGGAAAGGATTCCCTATTTAATAAATGGTGTTGGGAAAACTGGCTAGCCATATGCAGAAAACTGAAACTGGATCCTTTCCTTACACCTTATACAAAAATTAACTCAAGATGGATTAAAGATTTAAATGTAAGACCTAAAACCATAAAAACCTTAGAAGAAAACCTAGGCAATACCATTCAGGACATAGGCATGGGCAAAGACTTCATGACTAAAACACCAAAAGCAATGGCAACAAAAGCCGAAATTGACAAATGGGATCTCATTAAACTAAAGAGCTTCTGCACAGCAAAAGAAACTATGATCAGAGTGAACAGGCAACCTACAGAACGGAAGAAAATTTTTGCAATCTATTCATCTGACAAAGGGCTAAGGTACAGAATCTACAAGGAACTGAAACAAATTTACAAGAAAAAAAAGCAGCCCCATCAAAAAGTGGGTGAAGGATATGAACAGACACTTCTCAAAATAAGACATTTGTGTGGCCAAGAAACATATGAAAAAAAGCTCATCATCACTGGTCATAAGAGAAATGCAAATCAAAACCACATTGAGATACCATCTCATGCCAGTAAGAATGGCGATCAATAAAAAGTAAGGAAACAACAGATGTTGGAGAGGATCTGGTGAAATAGGAACACTTTTACACTGTTGATGGGAGTGTAAATTAGTTCAACCATTGTGAAGACAGTGTGGTGATTCCTCAAGGATCTAGAACCAGAAATAGCATTTGACCCAGCAATCCCATTACCGGGTATATACCCAAAGGATTATAAATCATTCTACTATAAAGACACATGCACATATGCTTATTGCAGCACTATTCACAATAGCAAAGACTTGGAACCAACCCAAATTCCCATCAGTGATAGACTGGATAAAGAAAATGTGGCACATACACACCATGGGATACTATGCAGCCGTAAAAAAGGATGAGTTCACATCCTTTGCAGGAACACAGATGAAACCAAAAACCATCATTCTCAGCAAACTAACACAGGAACAGAAAACCAAACACCGCATGTTCCCACTCATAAGTGGGAGTTGAGCAATGAGAACAGATGGACACAGGGAGGGGAACACCATACACTGGGGCCTGTTAGGGGTGGAAGACTGGGGGAGGGATAGCATTAGGAGAAATACCTAATGTAGATGACAGGTTGAGCGGTGCAGCAAACCACCATGGCACATGTATACCTATGTAACAAACCTGCGTGTTCTGCACATGTATCCCAGAACTTAAGTATAATAAAAAATAAAAATAATAAAAATAAAACATTGCATTTGATTACTATTGGAACAACATGGCCGCAGGCATCAGGTCAGTGGGCTCACTCCTCCATATGGACTGTGATAGTATATTCCTAAAAATCCATAACTTGCTTTAGAAGAAAGCAAAAAAAACAATGCTTCCCTATTTACTACATATTTCTCCCAGCTTAGGAGATGGATTTCCAGTGGAGCTATTCTGATTTGAGCTCTTCTCACTGATTGGCTGCCAATGTGGATTTCATAAAAATCTCACCTTTCAAATATGCACTAAGGAGAATGGTGTGATATTAAATAGCGACCAACTGCAATAAGCAGAGCAAAATGAAACCTTTTATAAGATTCTTATTTTCTAAAGACATATAATTTCCAAGTTTCAGTTCCAAAAATACAGCCTTATTTCTTTAGCATTAGAACACGAAACCAAAAGAAAACAGCTGTTACACAACAATTGATAGAGGATACTTAGGTAAGGAGCGTAAGATAACTGAATGCCACCTCCAACTCCCTCCAACCACAATTCCATCCATGTTCTCCTCTTATGGTGAAAAAAAAAGAAAAAGAAAACAGATGAGTCTACTACCATAATTCAAGTTAACGAATGACAGCCTAAGATAATTAAAAGGACTCTTTAGCAATTTATGATAATGTACAATCATATTCTTTTCTCCTAAAAGACTTTTGCATTATTGTATTTATTTCTTATTAAGAAGAAATATCACTCGCCTTGCAACAGATGTGAAATTATCCTTATTAGATACTTTTCTTTGACATTGGTATTTTAACACTGTGATTAAACCAGATGGAAGACAACTTTTTTTTTTTTTTAAAAGGATCCGGGAGGGAAGAGGAAAGAAAACACAGCCAGGTACTTTCAGATCCTAGTTGCCATAACAACTCGAGTCAGCTTCCATCATTAAATTATTTTTTGATCATGCTTATGGATTTTTTGTATAAAAAAGAGATTCATTAATTTCATGTACTTACGTTCTATTGAAAAAATTATTCTCCTTTTGAGAACAGCTCATAGTCTATTTTATTAAACAGAAGCAGAAAAGTACTGTAAACTCCCCCTCAAAACTATAAAACACAAGGGCTCCCCAAAGAAAGCTTAGAAGCATTATATAGCACCATCACAGCCTTCTGATGATATTTTTAAAGGGTATTTTGTTTCCATGAAAATTAAGTACTTCTGGTAATTTTACAATATGAGAATTATCTGTATTTTTTCTCTGTTTCAATAGGCCAATTCAAAAATTGTTGGTGATAACACCACCAAAACATATTGCAGTAAATTGTTTTCCTTCTGTCTCTTTTGTCTATTGTTTAATCTCTGGGTCTGAACACATCTGGAAAACAGTGAAGTCAGCGGGAAGTGTGAGAAGCTGGTATCCGAGCAAGTTGCTTCCTAGCAACAGCAGCCAGGAAAAACAGACTCATTTGTCAAGTGGTCCCAATGCAGGAAGTCAGGAGGCCCTGGGGAATGATAATGGCATATTCAAAGTGCAAAATATGTTAACATTTACCCTCCCAAATTGGAATATTTGATGTCCTCTATAAACAAGGTGTCCACACTTGAAAAGGAGCCCAAAGAGCGACAATGGCCCAGTATAGAGGACTGCTTCTCACACTTCTGGGATAAAGCACTGATTTGTATGAGTGTACATGTGTGCGTGCACCCAATTCATCACAAATTGTTACTTTGTAAAACACACTAATTCAGAAAAATGAAATAAAGAAGACGTACAAAATACAAACCCAAACTTTAAGTATTACAGTCAGCTAAAATAAAATCCTCTGATTCATGGCTTAAGTGATTCTAAACACTTACCTTCAATTTCTGTCCACACCTTCCTCACAAGCCAGAAACAGTGGACCGACTGCTCCGGAGAGAAGACCTCCACACTTGAAGTAGCTCTGGTTTTGAGTGGAGCGTCTCAAACTTATGAGGATCACCTGGTGAGCCTGTTAAACACAAATCCCTGAGCCGCACCCTCAGAAAGTCTGATTGAATCAACCTGGAGGAGGGATAGAGAATTCGCTTTTCTGACAAGCTCACAGGTGTTACCAATGTAGAAGCGGCAGCACTATAGAAGGCTTGATGTACTATATGGTATCATTGCCTAATGCTCTCAGTATGGACATCCTGTTACACTAAACCATAAAAATCCTGAGAGCTGGGCAGGGATACAATTTTGCCCAGAAAGAAAGGCAGGAAGCTAAGACTTCAATTCCTCCAGTGGTTCTTCATCATTATTAATGCAAAAGGTAAATGTCATAGCTCACATCACAAAGTTTTTCAAGATCTGCCTCATTCCCCCATTGTTGTCAGTTTTTTTCTATTCTGCACACTTTCCCAATATGGAATTTATACTTCTGATACAAGGAATGACAGGTAGATAGAATCCTGAAAGCACCAGTGTTCTCATTGTTCCCATGCTTTCCTGCTTTCATTCCCTCTGCCTAGAAAGGCTTCTGCTCCCCCTCAGCCCAATTCCCTTTCCTTCTTCTTATTCATTCCACAAATACTTTTGAGCTACCAAATTAATTTTTTAGAATTTTTATATGGGGTTTAAATGGGATAATGCATTTAAAGGGCTTAGAATGGAATACAGCACATGGTAAGCACTTGATGATGATGGTGGTGATGATGACAATGATTGTGCTGACAAGGACATTGAGGTTATATGATGATTAGAGGACCTTTTGTAACTACTGACTTTTTTTTTTTTACTTTAAGTTCTGGGCGACATGTGCAGAACGTGCAGGTTTGTTACATAGGTATACATGTGCCATAGTAGTTTGCTGCACCCATCAACCTGTCATCTAGGTTTTAAGCCCTGCATGCATTAGGTATTTCTCCTAATGCTCTCCCTCCCCTTGCCCCCCAGCCCCCGACAGGCCCCGGTGTGTGATGTTCCCCTCCCTGTGTCCATGTGTTCTCATTGTTCAACTCCCACCTATGAGTGAGAACATGCGGTGTTTGGTGTTCTGTTCCTGTGTTAGTTTGCTGAGAATGATGGCTTTTAAGTCACCTCAATTCAACTATGAAACTTCACTGTAGGAACTGTGTTTTTTACAGCAATATTTCATTTCCTAATGAGGTTTCTAGGATATAGTTTGCTAAGACATTGGTAGGAACCAGAAGGGTCATAACATACAACTTTATCTAACCCTATTCTTTTTCCACTATGCCATATTGTATCTTTTTTAAAATGTCCATTTCCAGCCTCCCTATTGCAGAGTTAAGAAACACAAAGAAAGACTCTCTTTCTGTCATTTTAAATAACCCTTGGCCAAAGCAAAGCAATTACTTGTTAATTTACCTGTTGGATTATTTCAGACCTTGTAGAAGTGGCTAACATTTTTTGAGTTGTGTAAATGGAAAATGGCAGTGGCAGTGTGGAGATGTGTTACTGAGATCTCCCCTCAAGAAAGAACTTGCCTTCAGCTGCAAGAAGTACAGATTCAGGATCTGTCTCAGCTTTCAAATCAAGGCTATGGTCTTCTCAAGCAGCCCCCAGTCAATGATGAAGAATGGCAGGGTAGTAGGGTTTGACTATTTGTGCCTAGTTAGGATTCCGTTAATGGGGAGTCTTTACTATAGAGCTTCCATTGACATGTCTGAAATGTTTTCTGATCTGCATCTTGGTATGAGGCTCTTCCTCCTGCCTTGCCTTGCACAGTTGTTACTCCATGTGTGCCTCTCAATTCATCTCTGTGTCTCTTTCCTAGAGGACTCAAATAACACAGGAACATAAAAAAGCAAAATGATGCTTTTAGCTTTCTTGATGGGAAATGAAGAATTGAGTCAAACTAGGGTTTAGGTAAAACAAAGCAAAGAAAAAAAATTGGAAAAAGATAGAAGCAAGACCTGCAAAGCACTTCCCCCATTTATCTGAGATTAGACACAAAGAGGAATAATTTTGTCTCCCACCTGCTGAGACACTCCATTCTTTACCCCTCAACGTGTTGTTGTCACTACTGCCATTTGAACTTCTTTGTTTCTATCACCATTTTTCTCTATGTGTATGTTCCAGATGCTTTCAGACTTCAGGGCTAATATTCACAAGTCACTTTTCATCTTGTTTGTATTCAGAGAGTCATCATAGCTTCTGTGTGTGACTGAAGGCAATTTGAGGTGCCTTCTCAACTAGTTAACAGCTAAGAACAGGAAGATAGAGCCAAATTTTCTTTTTTACATAGAAAAAAGGCATAGCTGTGACAACATAGAAAAAGGTAAATTTATTCAAACACCTACTGATAAACTGTGAAGGAGATTTATACTAAGTCAGGGGTTCTTAGTCTCTTTGGAGTCTGAAATACCTTTGAATATGATATGAAAGCTATGAACTCAGTCCCTAGATAAAAGAGGAATTTGAATGAGGACCTTAAGGTATTTTGTTCTACTATCCTCCTTTCATTATAATCAATGTTTTCCTATTAATAATGAATGCATACTAGGATCATATTTTATGATATTAATGAATGTTTTCATTCACAGTAGTTAGTTTTATTTATTGCACTTCCATAAATAAAATGACTTTGCAATTCTGCCTCAGGGAGGGGAAGCTTTGGCAAAATAAATTAATAAATACACTATTAAATAAAATTTTATTTGGCATTTGGTTTATCAAAACCGATTCATTGACATAAATAATACATTTGGAAGAATACCTGCCTATTCAAATTTTTTCATCTTACAGCAGATAAAAATTCCTAGTGCACAGATGGGGAAATGAGAGTGTGTTTTGCTAATAGTGATACTTTTCCTTCAAAAATAATAACAGAAAGGTAATTTGTGCACTTGAATACAAGGTATAGAAATAAACAGAAAATTGAGTTAAATGTCAGAGATTCAGGGGCACTGAAATCTCTGCAGATAATGAGAATGTGATTCTATTTTGAGAAGACGTGATTCCTAATGTATGAGTTAGCTTTTGCCATGTAACAAGCTCCCCTTCCTCTTGCAATTGAGTAGTTTAAAATAATTACCATTTACATAGTTCATGATTCTGTGGGTTAGAAATGTAGACTGGGTTCTTTAGGTCTCAGCTCACCTCTCCCATGCATCTTCACTCAGCAGGAGCAGGGAAAGCAAGGGTAAGAGGTTTTGCTGATACCTCCTTCTCATACATGAGAACTTGGCTAGGAAAGCAGGGTTGATGCAGTCCTGGAGCACATAGTCTGTCATTTTCCAGCAAGCTAGCACTGGTGTGCTCAGAGGTGATCAGAATGGGACAGGAGGGGTCCCAAGAGAGATAACAAAAAGTGTGGTATGCAAAGTGTCTTTGAAACTAGTATTGAAATGAAAACCTATTATTTCCACTGTGTCTGTTGGCCAAAACAAGTCACAAAGCCAGTCCGGATTCAAGGGGATGGCAGGGTCTCTACCTTTTGATGAGAGAGCCTGCAAAGTCACATTATTAAGGTTATGGCCAGAGAACAGTAAAGGACTGTGACCATTTTTGCAATCTACATATTCAATAAAATATTTGAACTAAAATCACCTTAATGTCTCTGAATAAAATCTCATCACCATCAACCTTCATTTTACAGTGTTTCATATCACCATATTCACCCTTAAACAGATAAATAGAAAAAGTTACCTTTGGAGCCCAGTGAACACTATAGTTCTTGGAAGAAGTAACTACCTAACTATGGCATCAAGTGCCCTATTAAAGACTTGTGTCCTATGAGGTTGACTGTCAACTGACAGTTTATCTAATAGTTCCTTAAGTGCTGGCTGCAATGCCTTCCCTCCCTGATATCTACAAGGCACCTTCTATCAAAATGAAAATTCTATCCCTTCTCTGGCATTTACAGGACTTTGGTTTCATACTCTTTGGCATGAATCATATCTGCATTCATAGACTCATGGACTCATGGTTTACTGTGATCCACTACAATAGCAGATGGGCCTCTCCATGCACAAGTGCAAAGATTAGTGCAGCAATGTTAATATTTTGAGGGAGTCACAGGTACCTTTGAGAAGACAGAAACTACGAACGCTTGAAAAATATACATCACACATTGATGCAAAATTTTGTACATAATTTCAGGATGTCCATAGACCTCCTAATGCTCCTCCTTGGAGTATCTAAGAGTCTATGAACCCCATTTGAAGGATCCTGCTCTCAATTATGAAAATAAATGCTCTTATATTACAGCATTAAGCTACTTCAATCAGAGGTAGCAAGAGAGCATAAAAGAGCAGCCAAAGGTATTTTGAAGGCATAGTCACCAAGTTCTGACTTCCCAAACAATTAATGTTCAGGCATTATTTATTCTGAGACAGACAAGTCTCCAGCCTCTCTTCCCAAATGTGAAAGAACAGAAACAAACTCCTAAGCATGAATCTCACAATCAGTTACAGAATCGCCATCTGTGGTTGTGACAGCAGAAACGTCCCTTAGGCCACCCCCCTCTCTCAATTGAGAAGGTAGAACTTGATGCTCTTCGAGTAAGTAAGACACTGCTTCTATTACACTGATACATTTACAGAATAAATAAATGATATCATAGATTTGCTTCAAAATAATCCAGGGTGGGAGGAGTATATGAATAAAACAAAATTGGTCACACGCATGTAATTACTGAAGCTGAGTGATGAGAGAATAAATTCTCTCTACTTTGTTACATATTTGAATTTTCTGTAATGGAAAAATAAAGACAGAAAGGGACTTAAATGTTTATTTCAAAAGAAGTCAGGCCAGGTAAAACAGAGGAGCAGAAATGTATAACCTTCTTACCAACCATTCTAGAATGAAGGGGGTTTCTAAGTCCTTCTTTGCTCTTTTCTACATGACCACAATATCTCTTTGGTCCTCTTATTTCATTTTAAAAGTACCTTTGGCCTGACTTTTTACTCGTTCAAGGAGGTTATGAAAAATGATTTAAGAACAGTAAGACAAATGTTGACTCTTGGTTAACATAGGATATGTCACCATCAGTCACTTGGGCTCCTCCACTCTCTGCTTTAGGGTTTCTTGACCAATCAGATGGGACTCCTAAGACACGTTGCTAGGAAGCAACTCGTTCTTTGATATCAACTTCTCACACTGCCTGCTGTCCTCCCTGTTTTCTAGACTAACTCAACCTGAGCAATAAAGAACACAGATGCCAGCTGATGAACAGTGGCCAGAACGTCACAAACTTAGAGCCTCAGTTTTTTTAACTTCCAAATGAAGGAAAGTCCAAACTGATCTGCTCAACAGGATTATTTCAAACTACAAATTAAACAGTTAAATGAGGCAGTGACTATGGCAGCTGTTTGTAAATTCTAAAGGGATTTGTTTCAGACTGTGTTGATGGAGTTGCTCCAGGGGTCTCTGAGAGCATAGTGCTCCCTCTGGCCCACCCCAGCCTCCTCCAGAGGAGCTCTGTTTCAATCTTTTCTTGTATATGGGGCTCTGTGGAGAATTTCAGTTGAAAAATTGTTCTGATGCTAACAAAGATAAGGTTAAAAGTTGGGAGCTGCTTCCAGCTAAATAGTAGTTATGAGAAAAAAATCCCTGAAATCACGAATCTTGTCAATGGAAAAATACAATTTGATTTGACATATAGGTTCTGTCTATTTGCTATTTTATAGGTACATATATGCATATATTTAACAAAAAAAAGTCTTTTAGGAATGCATCTATTAAAGAAAGCAGGGTAGATTACAATGTCTCAGAAGAGGGGATGCATGCAATGGAAACAGCAGCATTCTGGAACCAGAATAAGAATCAGATAACCTGGGTTTGAATCCTGACACCACCTTTTAGTACTGGTATGATTTTGAATAAACAGTTTTATGGGTTTGTTCACAGTTTCTTCAACTGCGACCTGTTTAAAATAATGTTTGTCATGTTGCAAAGGTTACATAAAAATTTTAAATGCCTGGTACTCCTATCAGAGACTCTAAGAAAAAAAAAATCTCTACTAGGATAACTTTGCTTCCCCTGAGAAACTGTGATACTTCTTTTTTTAAGAGAAGAATTATGTAGCCATGCTTTTCTTCCATTTTGCTTCACCTGCTAAAAAATTCAGAGCCAATTTGGGGCTCAACTGTAAGAACTGGGCTGACCCTGATACTCTGTGAATGTGTGTTCTTCCTTTCCCTGGTATTGAATTTCCAGCTTCATTTAAAATTTCCCTGATCTTTATTTTAATTACCTTTTTTAACATGTGTGTTCTCATCTAAGCTGTTCTCAATTCTTTGTGGAGAGAAGTAGTAGAGTTGAGAGGAAGATGCAGGGAAGGGAGGAAGAGGAAGGAGAAGATTTGAGGAGAATGGATAAGAGAATGAATCTAATATTTTTTTCCATAAATGCTCACAGGCAGTTGTAAAAAGAAAAACATAATATTCTCTATCTAGTTGATCATAGCTTCTGGGAACTGCTGTATTGGGATGTTTAATTAATAACACTTTATATCTGCAGTATACCATTGCTTTCCCAAGTCGCTGTGTCTGTGATGTGAGAGTGTCACAGACAACACAGTCTTGTTACAGAGTGTCTTTTCTGGCAATTTCAAGAAGGCACCAGCAAGGACTGAGAAGCACACAGTCTCTCCTCTTCTCTCTCTCTCAATCTCTCTCTCTCTTTTATTACAGTTTGGGTTAAATATAATACACTGGAGCCTTGCTATAACAACCAGTCTTTGCCACCAGCCACATAATTTATTTATGTACCTAGAAATATTCCTGTAAAATATCTATGTACTATAGATGGATAGATAAATGGTAACTGATAGCTGAAAGAAAAATAGTCTAGACCTCAGAGGAATCTAATAATTCAAACTTACTACAGACAGCCTGAAGATAGTTAACATACATAGTATTGATTATGTCAAGATTTAGTACTCTGGAAAAACCTCATAAAACACAACATTTTGCTATCACAGGGGTTTGAGAGACAGAGGCAATTAAAATGCAAGAAACACCGGTCTTGTTCATATGGAATTTTACAAATATTTCCAGGAATAATTTCATTGTCTCCCAAGAATAGATGTTTGGTTACAAATCTATCTTCTGAAAAACCAAAGAACACCTTTTGTTCATTAAAAAACAAAACAAAACGAAAAAAAAGGTGTCCCCTGAGAGCAGTATGCTCAGGGCTTACCCCCTCTGGTGTTTATGTTATAGCCCAAATGCATTCCCATTGAAGAAGGTGTCAGCTGTCATGCCATGTGACACCTCTAACTGAAAGGGTGCTTTGGCATTTCTGTAGACAAATTGTTCGTACACAGAAAGACGGGATGTTACTGTGAAGCATGATGATTATAAATGGACACCACACATTCTATCAGTTTTTCGCTGCTTATTTCTCCTTACTCTATTCTGTACCTAGGTGATCTCACTTTTTTCCAACTCTTCAAATATTGCTGATCTGCTACAGCTTCCAAAGTTACAGCTTTATCCTTGATTGTTTCTCTCTTGAGCCCCCTAGAATTTCAAGGCTTCCAGAGAATACTCCATTTGGGTGTCCTGATGGCATGACAAATTAAATTTTTAGAAGACAAATTCCTCCTCCTCCTCGTCCTTCCTGTACTCCATCCCCAACTCCTCCATTAGGTAATTCATGTTCAGAAATTACTCTTCCACTCCCTGCCTCATTGCTTTCAATGAATCAGCCTGGCTGCCCTGCAGACTTGCGTATGCATGGAAGAAGTTGATGGGATGGTCAGAATTGACTCAAGATATGAGATCTCACCCTACAGCTCTCACACAGTTTTTTTTACAACCTCCTCTCTGCTTGAAAAGCTCTCTGCCCATGCCTTTATCACAGATCTTAGCTCATCAATGTGTAACTAGTTGATTTATGTCTCTCCATTTTTGGTATTTGAACACCTCAAGGGTACAGAAAATGTAATCCAGATTTTTAGAGTATGTTTCTGAATAGGCTCCACTTAATTCATTTGGAAAATAGTCATTAAGCATCTACTGTGTGCTATGTGCTAAAGATACAATTGTAAAGATGACAGAACTGTCCCTCAAGCAGCTAGGGACCACAGACCAGAAGGGCAAAATGCTGTTATAGTGTAAGTTCAGACACCATATATAAAAGCACATGCAAAAGTGTTTAATCACCAGGAAGACAGAATGAAAAACAAGGCAGAGACTAAGGAGAGACAAGCTAAGTGCTTAAAGCACGACATTTAAGGAGACATAAACTCTTAGAGCCATGCAAGTGTAGGGTGAGCACCTGAGATGAGCACATCCTTAAATCTTGTTTCCTAGGCACCTCATCCTAGCCCTGGCCCTGATGGAAAACTTATAACTTGCCCATATATACTAAGAGTCATTTGTAAAACTATCCCAGTGAAGATTGGTAGAGCCTTAGGGACCAGGATCCTCTCTAATGGGAAATTAAATACTTTATGGGATGTGAACAGACTCTCTTTTATTAAAGGGAGCACTTGGGAGATTAAGCATAATTACTTTAGATAGGTTGGTAAGTAAAACCACCACAAATCCAAGAATGATAAAAATTAGAGTAAAACATGTGCTTACACAGTTCCAGTAAGGGTACACATTTGAAAGAGAGATGGTATAGAATAGTGGTTAGGGCAACGGCCTGTAGTGCTCTTTTACTAGCTACCTTTCTATTCCTTAGCAGTTTCCTCATCTGGAAAATGGCAATAATAACTCCCTATTTTATAGGTTTGCTGCAGAGATCAATTAATTAAATTTTATAGGATTGTGGCAAAGAGTTAATCTATGTAAAGAGCTTAGAAAAGTGCCAGGCACACTGTGAACATCCAATGAATGTTAACTTGTCTTATTATTCTTTCATTCCTCTAACTCTTCTTAGTGTGTACTCCTATAAAGAACAATAGTTAGAATTTTAAGGACTCTTGATTTGCTATCTGAGGGCATCTTGAGGAATTAGGTGAGATATTTATACAACTGCCCTCAGGATATCCTGCAAAGATACCTTCAACTAGCATGTTTCTCAGTTATCCTCTTCTCCTTTCTCAACCTTCCATTCTGGAGTTTCCTATCATAATGAATGACAATAAGATTTATTTGTTTTTATTTACATTACCCAGTTTTAATCCTCTACTTTGCAACTGGTATCTATTTATTATATGTGTGTGCATATGTGTGTATGTGTGAGTGTGTTTAGCAATTTGCCTCTCAATGAAAATGTAAACTCCCATGAGGTCACAGTCTTGTTCGTGCTGTATTGCCTACACTTAGTACAACAGCAGGCACTCAAATATTTTTAAACAAATGATCAAATGAGTTCATGAATTTTCAACTTCTCTCATTCCTTGCCTCTTACTCTACATTAACTGATATAAATCCTGTCAATTCAATCTCCTGAATATCATTCACACTTGGTTCTGTCCACACCACCACCACTGTATCTCAAGCCATCATCATCTTCCACCGGTATTACTAGAACGATATATTGCCTGTTCCCCTTCCTCAAGTCTCCCATTTCTCCAAAACAGTCTTCTTAGTGCAATCTGAGTGCTGTAGTGCTCTTACTAACATGAAAATCAACCACATTCTTCCACTGCTTACAGCACTTCAAAGCAATCCAAAAAGCTCGTGTGCTGGATTATTCTATTTGTATAATATTCTAAAAATAAATTACAAAACTAAAAAGAATGAGAACAGATTTAGTGGATTCCAGAGGACAGAGATGGGGTGGTGCAACTGAAAGGGAGCAACCTAAAAGATTTCCTTCATGGTAATGAAATAGTTCTGCATCTTGATTGATTAGTGGTCCCATGGATGTATACATGGAATCAAATTTCATAGAACTGCAAACACACACACACACACACACACACACACACACACACACACACCATTAGTGATTTAAAAACAGGTCAAATAAGATCTATAGTCTAGTTAACAGCATTGTATCGATGTCAGTTTCCTGGTTTTGATATTGTGCTATAGTTACATGGGATGTCACCATTGGAGGAAGCTGGGTGAAGTTTATGGCCTCTGTGCACTATTTTTGCAATATCCTATAATTTTCTTTAATTCTAAAAAAAAAAATTTCAAAGAATCATCATTGCCCTTAAGGAAAAACAAATCCAGCCGCATCATCCTGATTCACAAGACTGAAGAGCCTGACCTCAGATTGCATCTAAAGCTTCATTGTTTGCCACTCATGTGATTTGGTTGTAAGTGGGCCAGTGAATCCTAATTCATTTTATCCTGTTGTTTTATTCATTTAAAGATCTAAAATAGTTTTAAATGAATATTTAAAAACAAAAATAAATACCATGCCTTATATTCTTGGTGGATGCATCATCAGTTAGCTATCATAGCATAACAAACTACCCAAAACTCAGAATCTTAAAAGAACAGTCTTATATTATCACTCAGGTCATTGTGTCACCTGGGCTCGCTTATGCATCTATGGTCAGCTGTGGATCACTCTTTGCTAGCCACTGTTCAGCTAGCTATAGGCATTTCTAAAATGGCCTTAGCTGAAACAACTAAGCCCTTCCACATGGTGTCTAATCCTCGGCAGACTATTCACACAGCTGTAGCAAGGTTCCAAGAGAAGAAGGAAGTGCTCGAAGCCAGAATGGTGTGTGGTCACTTTCACCAAGTTCTTTGGCCAAAGTATGTTAAAAAGCCAATCTGTATTCAGGAGGTAGAAAAATGGAAGCCATCTCTTGGGAGGAACCACAAAATCACATTGCAAAAGATGTGGACACAGTGTGAAAAATTGGGGCAACAACTACTAAAATCCTCTAAGTCATCAAAACGTGAATAATGTACTTCCCACTATAATACAAAATGCTAAGGTTCTGAATGAAATCACAAACGTATTTCTAACCTGAATTCAATATATTGAAAGACTGCATGATAAGGAGCAATGGAAAATTACCATCATTTACAGACAAATAAATGTTCTTCATCCTGCTAAGCTTCCGCACTTGGCAAATCTTTAAAAATCTGGTGCTTTCTTCCTTCAGCCCTCTTCTAGATTTAGTTTCTTTTTTATTTCTTGTTCAGTTTCAGTCTTACTGAAGCAGCTTAGCATTCAATCTGCAGCCACCTACTCCCAGGGAGAGCCATTGTTTAATATTAATGTTCACCTAAATTGAAGCAACGCCCTGCTGCCTTCACAGCCATTCAAGGAGAAATTCTCACCCTCAGAGAGAGGTAGGTAAGGATGACGTTGCTGCCCTCATTTTGTCCTTAGGGTGCAGCAGACCGAAGAGGGAACTGCCAGATGGAGGTGGGGAATTTGATTCTGCTGCCTGAGTCAATGTGAATTGCAAAACTCTAATCATCTGTGTGGGCAGGAAGTCACCTAGGCACTTCAGCTGGTGGGCGCCCATGTGAAAGGGAGATAATTATCAATGTCACTTCTAAGACACGAAGGTCCTATGGAAAGAAATAGATTCTACTAGCATATTGCACGGAGCCTATTGAAGTGCAGACAGTGATTTGTAAAATGTTATGGGAGCAGTAGAGCAGGCTTAAATGAAATTCAGCGGCAGGCAATTAGTTGATAAAATAACTATTTTCTTGTGCTTTGGACTCTATGAAGTAACATGACTTTAAATTTTGGATGACAAGTCATTTCTGTGTATTAAAATGAAAATGCTACTTTTCCCAAGTAGCATTTACTCTGTGAACTTCTTTATATCAATGTTACAGGTAAAGAGAGAAAAAGAATAAAGTGTGCCTGCTTGCTTACCCGCCTGACACAATGTTCTGGGAAAGGAAACAATGTTCTCTCCCTAAAAAGTCTCTTTCCAGGATCAACTTCAGCTGCAAATAAAGTAAGAAAAATTGTGGATTATATAAAGTCAAGTCTACTAGGACTAACGTTTGTCTTTGTTCCCATCTATATTCTTCAATGGTAATTTTTTTTTCATCTTGACTAAAGATAGACTTGCGGCAACTAGCACAGTTTTCATTATCTATACAATCATCAAAGCTATCAATACTGCTATATTTAAGCATATCAAAAATTTATTTATGTGGAAAACAGAAGCCATATTTTACCTTGGTATCTAGATCTCTTTTGGTAGAGGAAGAAGGTGCATTTTTTCATATCTTGATAAGATTTCAATACTCAAATCGTGATAAAATCTCAACTACTACTCTTATACTTCCAAGCGTTAGTACATAAGTATTATACAAAATGCCAGGAACTCAGTAAATGGAGACATTATACAAATAAATGGATTTAGGATTATGGACTGCTTCTCAGTGTTTTGTTAGGCTTGACACATGACAGACACACCGGATTGTTCAAAGAAGGGCAGGATGTAATTTATGGGCCAGCCTATGTTGTGGCATATGGACATCTTGTTCCTGTTAAATGAGTCAAGCTAGACACAAAAATCTCTTGTAAATATGCATGGGTGATGCAGCTCCTGATAAATAGTTCAACAGGATCTGAGGCAGTTTATTACCCTAAACTCTTATACTTCCAAGCGTTAGTACATAGGTATCATACAAAATGCCAGGAACTCAGTAAATGGAGACATTATACAAATAAATGGATTTAGGATTATGGACTGCTTCTCAGTGTTTAGTTAGTCCAACAGGATCTGAGGCAGTTTAGGGTAATAAATTTCCTCAGATCCTGTTGGACTATTTACTGGGAGCTAGGGTAATACAATTGCACAAAAACAGCTCTATATATCATAGCAAATATCAGTAGTTTATAATTTTCAAAGCATTTTTTATTAAGGTAGAAAATCTTTGCAATAGCCCAATGAGGTAGATGATGAGTTAATTGTAGGTACCTGAGGTTCAAAAGATTGAGGTTGCCCCTGCCAGACCCCTCAGTTTGCAAATAAGTGGTTAAGCCATGATCCCAAACTTGGTTTTCTTTCCAAATTTAGTTTTCTTTCTACTGATATCATCCTGGTAAAATAAGAAAAACAAAATTCAGCCCTTCCCTCCCCACCCACAACCCTCTAAGAAGCAGTTGAAAATTTAAAATGGTATTAAAATTAAATGGAATTGACTGGGTTAAAAGGCAAAGTTCATTGTAACAGAAATGTTTGCCTAGTTATTTTTATTTTTATTTTTATTTTGAGACGGAGTCTCGCTCTGTCGCCCAGGCTGGAGTGCAGTGGCGCGATCTTGGCTCACTGCAAGCTCCGCCTCCTGGGTTCACGCCATTCTCCTGCCTCAGCCTCCCGAGTAGCTGTGACTACAGGCGCCCGCCACCACACCTGACTAATTTTTTGTATTTTTCATAGAGATGGGGTTTCACCGTATTAGCCAGGATGGTCTCGATCTCCTGACCTCGTGATCTGCCCACCTCGGCCTCCCAAAGTGCTGGGATTACAGGCGTGAGCCACCACGCCCGGCCTGTCTAGTTATTTTTAATTGTCACTAACATCCTTTGAGGCAAGGAGGATAAGGAATATGTCCCACATGACAAGGGAGGAAACAGTCCTGCTGGTGAAGCACTGTGACACTTTGGCGACTTTGACGCCACTCTGCTCTTCTTGCCAATTCAGGACTAGGAGGCATCCTATCCTGCCTTTCACCATAGAGCAAACCCCAGAGAGTGCTGGGGTGAATTTCTCTGGAAATGAGATCCCAGGACTGTGTTGTATAGGTTGTAACTCTGAAAGTGATACGTGCTGCCTAAAAGGGCCAGCTTTCAACTCTCCACTTCTAAAAATACTCCTCCTAATAGAGAAATTTAACTGAAGTCCAAACCTTCCATTCCACAATGAAAGAACCTGCAGCTAATAGCTCGCTGGAGTTCATTTACCCATTGAGGTTGAGTTTCTGGCACTTTCTAGAGCTCTTTGGGTATAGGCATCTCTCCCATGTCTCACAGATTTGGGTGGAGATAAAGTGAAATAGTCAAGTGCCTGACTTTATATACCAAGATTAGGTACCCCATAAGTGTTTACTCCCTTCTCTTCCGATTCCACTCAACTGTTCCTTGCTACTCCTCTCTTGAAAATACTCTCTAGCCTGGGGGCCACTCACTGATACCTAAACTCTTCAGGAACATACCTCATAGCCTTTGCCCATGCTGGTCGATACACCTGCAATGTCCTTCTTCCTGCCTCTGCTTGGAAATGTAAGTCCTGTCTCTCACATTCTGTATGAAGTTTTTAGAAGCTTCTCCCATTATAAGCACAAACCCCCAGCCCCTAGCCTTCCTCCACTGGTCACATCCTGAGAGAAGTGCATCGTGTTGGTTAATCACATATCCGCCTGTAAAGAAGTTCTGAGCTCAATAAGTATTTATTGGATTAAATTTAGGCGAAGTCATCAAGTAGGCTAAGAGTTACCTGAGGAGAGAAAGACAAAACAAGGGAATGGTGGAAAAAACAAAAAAAAAAATTTAATCTACTTAAACCATTGTCTTGAGCCATGTCTAAATGCATATTTGGACCCATTTTCATAAATTTCTATAAAGTCCTTGTTTCCATGACAGAGTGAAATAGCCACACACAGTAAGAAATATGGCTTCTGTTAAGTATTTGCCGTAAGTGCTTTGACTAGGATGCTTAAAGTTATCTGGGTGGCCCAGGAAATACATTTTTATTTGATTTCGAGAAAAAATAATTTTAGGAGGGTCAATGTGTTTTATTTTCCTTTGTTTCATCTGTTGGATGTTTAGTTTTGCTGTTTGCTTTTTCTAGGCAAAGAATGGCAAACACAAATACTTCTTAGACCAACTATTCTGGATTATATTATCTCTGATATTCTCTAAGTACTGTCATAACTACTGGCTATCAGGGACACAGAATTGAGGCAAGGCTCCTGATAAATATTCCATCAGGATCTGAGGCAGCTTAGGGTAATGTTTAAATATATGGGCTTTGGAGCTCATACCATCTGGTTCAAAACTTAGCACAATATTTATAAAGTGTTTGACCTTGAGCCTCTTTACGCCTCAATTTTCTCATATGTAAAATGGGATGATAATGGTACCTAATTCATAAGCCCATTGTGAGGATTAAAAGAGTTATTACATGTAAAGCACATAAAACAATGTTTGGCATGTAATAAGTACCATAGAATTATTCACTATTATTAGAAAAATATAATGGTTTAAATCAGATGTCCTAGATAATGCAATACATACGGTAACCAAATCAGTTATCCATTGCTATGTAACAAACCACCCAATACTAGTGACTTAAAACAATTATTTGTTTTATTTGCATGGTTCTGGAGCTGACTGGGCTTAGCTAGGTGGTTCTTGCTAAAGTTCTCCCATGTGGTTGCAGTCAGACACTGGATGATACTGGAGTCATCTCAATGGCTTCCTCACTAATAGGTCATGCAGAAAATCCATGTCAGCTAGGACTTCTGCTGGGGCTGAATACCTATGTGTGGCTTTTCCATGTGGCCTGAGCCACCTCATAGTATGGTGACCAGATTCCAAGGGCAAGCCTCCTGAGAGAGCCAGAGGAATGCCATCTTGCTTTTTTTTTTTTGGTCCAATTATTATTATTATTATTATTATTATTATTATTATTATTATTATATTATACTTTAAGTTCTAGGGTACATGTGCACAATGTGCAGGTTTGTTACATATGTATACATGTGCCGTGTTGGTTTGCTGCACCAATTAACTGGTCATTTACATTAGGTATTATCTCCTAATGCTATCCCTCCCCCCTCCCCCCTCCCCCCACCCCACAACAGGCCCCAGTGTGTGATGTTCCCCACCCTGTGTCTAAGTGTTCTCATTGTTCACTTCCCACCTATGAGTGAGAACATTCAGTGTTTGATTTTCTGTCCTTGTGATAGTTTGCTCAGAATGTTGGCTTCCAGCTTCATCCATGTCACTACAAAGGACATGAACTCATCCATTTTTATGGCTGCATAGTATTCCATGGTGTATATGTGCCACATTTTCTTAATCCAGTCTATCATTGATGGACATTTGGGTTGGTTCCCAGTCTTTGCTATTGTGAATAGTGCCGCAATAAACATATGTGTGCATGTGTCTTTGTAGTAGCATTATTTATAATCCTTTGGGTATATACCCAGTAATCGGATGGCTGGGTCAAATGATATTTCTATGATGTAGTCTCAGAAAGTCAGATGGTGTTACTTCCACCAGATTCTATTGAGCCAGGTAGTCCCATCTTAAGGGAAGGTGACATAGACTCCAGCTGTTAATAGGGGATGGCAAGGTCACATTGTAAGAAGATTGGGTGGGATGGAAAGTATTGTCTGGCCATCTTTTGGAACTACAACCTGCCACAGTCAACTATGCACATAGTAAGCATTCACCAAGTACTGTGGAATGGCAAAGACTACAGAGTCTTTGGTAAGATTTTTTTTTTACTGTAAGACAAAGAAAACAGCTCAAACTAGTTAAACAAACCAAAAAGTAATTTTTAGAAATTTTTCTAAAATTTTTCTAAAATTTTTCTGTGTCTTCTCACAGAACCCTGGGGAAGTTAGGTCTCTTGAGGGACAGTTTCCAGGAACTGTATCTCACCACCTCCACAACTATCATTTTCATCCTAGCCACCATCATCTTTTACCTGGGTTGTTGCCATGTCCTAACAGCTCTCCCCATTTCTTCCCTCTGGTCCCTACAGTCTATTCTCCACATGGCTACTTGGGATCCCTTCAATTTGTAAGTTGGATTCTATCACCTATTTGCTCCAAACCTCCAAACCTTGCAGAATGCTCCCATCAAATTCAGACAAACCTCCAAAGACCTTACCTTGGCCCTCAAGGCCCTCTATGATCTTTCTTTTGGTGTCTGTTTGCCACCATCACCTGCCATGCTTGTCTTTGAATCCCCTACTCTCACCTCTTCCTTGAACATCCAAGCATGTCCCACCTTGAGGCCTTTGCTATTGCTGTTCACTCTGCCTGGATCACCATTTTTTCCCCGATGTCAGCATGGGTCTCTGTGTTAGTCCATTCTCACACTGCTATAAAGAAATACCTGAGACTGAGTAATTTATAAAGAAAAGAGGTTTAATTGGCTCATGGTTCTGTGGCTGTACATGAAACATGATGCTAGCACCTGCTCAGCTTTAGGGGAAGCCTCAGAAAACTTACAACCATGGCGAAAGGCAAAGAGGGAGCCGGCACTTCACGGGCTGGTCCAGGAGGAAGCGAGAGAACAGGGGAGGTGCTACACACTTTCCAACAACCAGATCTCATGAGAACTCACTCACTATCACAAGGACAGTACGAAGAGGGACGGAGCTAAACCATTCATGAGAAATCTTCTCCTATGATCCAGTCACCTCCCACCAGATCCCATCTCCAGCATTGGGGATTACAATTTAACAAGAGATTTGGTGGGAACACAGATCCAAACCATATCAGTTCCCCCCTTTATTCTTTCCAGACTTTATTCAGGTATCTCCTCTCAGGGAGAGTTTCTCTGACCCATCATTTCCAAAGTAGCATGTATCTCAACGCCTCCTGAAAGACAGATTTGTTTTATAGCCCCAATAATGAATTCCAAAAGGAAGGAAACTGACTGGCTCATCAGAGCTTGAGTATCCATCACGGTCCATCCGTTACATCTTGGTTGGGATGTTAGGGTTGTCACACAGTAAAAGGACAGACCTGCTAAAACTAAGTCTTACGCAGGGAACAGTTCTCAAGGACAAGGGGCGCTGGGAACTGTGAAATTATGCCAGCAAGTCTAATGGAGTTGAGAAAGAGGCGATCATAGCTCTGCTACTAACTCCTCGGGTGACCTTAGGCAAGTTAAAAGTATGGGACTCAGCTTCTCCTATCAAATGATGATAATATTATCTGCTACAATTACTTGCAAGGAGATCACTAAAATGAAAAGATAAGTCAGGATAAGGTCTTAGATGTGCTTTAAAATATTTCAGTCCCAAACAAAAGATAGATGATGCAAGTGTGAAAAATCCGGATTACCTGAGTGATAGGTATATGCTGTTCATTATACTGTTTTCTGAACTTTTGTATTTGTTCAAAAACTTGCATAATAAAAAATATGAACTACTTCATAAAGATAAGGAACAAATACCACAGTAATAAGTAGAATCTATATACTGATAGTCCCATGATTTAGCCTTTTTATTTGCTTTTGTTTATTGGGATTATATTATAGTTGTCTTCTTTTATTCTGTTTCTAAAATAACCCAAATTTGAAAATTACTTGCCACCATTATCATGACAACAATGGTGCTTTTAAAATGTAAATTCTGTGGGTTTTTTTTTTTTTTTTTTTTTTTGAAGATTTTGGTATGATTGGAAACTTCACAACATTCTGAAAATAACTTTAAATAAAATCTTAAGGAATAGGGACGCAATTTATGGGCATTTCCATGGTAAAGGTCCAGGCCACATCTCAGGTCTCATTTCTACTTTGTGTCACATTCCTTTGGTGGCTGTCACATCACCAATTCTATCATCAAGAGTGGCTCTGAAAAAAAATAAACAAATAACTCTTTTTATCACTCCTCCTCAAAACTAACATATCCAGACCTTTACATTCCAATGATTTCACTGCTGATCATCATAGGAAATACATAAGATGACAAACATAACCAAAATAAATTACAAACATTACAGTATCTTACTAATTCATGGTCCACAGATTGATTGCTGAGATGATTAATAAGATCTCCATTGAATTTCCACCCACAGCTTTCATGCCTGACAATGAAACTCACAAAACCTGTCTTTTCTTCTTCCTCTCAACTTCCAGGCCAAAGATTCTGCTCCCTGAAAGAACCCAGTGTATTAGTCTCAATGTTTGTTTGCATCTCTCAAGACCTCCAGATCTACTTAGAGCAACTTCCCTGGGCTTTTGCCCTACAAAGCAACCCCTTTAAAGAATTCTCAAAACAGATTATATAATTATCAAAATCTGTCCTGGACACTTTACACATCTATCTAAACCCCTTGATTCTGCCCAATTTATTTAAAGTGCAGAAATTTTCATTTTAAAGTACCTAAAAAGTTTTATTATTTTCAGTTTTAAACCAGTAAGTATTATCCAAATTTGAGAATTCAGGATATCATCAAGTATAAACATAAGAAAGCTTGCACATGAGTGATGTTCAACAAAACCTTGGAGCAGACAGGGTTGGGGACAGGATTCTGCTATAGGATTTCCAGGGCTGACTAACAAGTCACCTCTAATAACTGGCTGTGAACAGTATGCCTGGTTGCTGGTCAACAGAAAGTACTTGTTGCACTGCAGAACACTGAAAATATAGGACGTATTCAGTGACAATTCCTCAAAGGACAACATTGTTAAAAACCAGGATGTGGTCCCAAATCAGGTTTTACAGGCGTCCCCCTGGAGTTTTCATGAACCACACTAACCCATTAAACCTTGGAAGTCAATAGGCCCCTTGGAACTAGTTTAATTATATAGTAACAGATTGTAAAATTAAGTGTTCTATTCCCAGCACTTTCCCATTTAACTTAAATGCATTCCTCAGGGAGGGAGGGGGGAAGCAAAGATCTATAAATGGAATGGAAGTGGGGGATTTGTAAAATCATTTTATAGCTTGAGAGAAATATCAACTCCAATAATCCCTCCGCATATTCAGTCGTAGTTGACATGTACGGAAAAGCAAAGGGCAGAATTCTCTATCTTTTCACCTGAGTAAATCTACCTTTTTAGAATATGGAGAGTAATTACTGTAGCTCCTCTGATGATTTACAATCATCTGATGATTACAACAATAATTTGAATTTTGTTCAATTCTACTTTTTCTGTTTGCCACCACTCAAGTGGGGGTCCTCTGCCTTACCTCTGGTAGAAATGAATAATGTCAGTGGCTACTATAGAAATGCTGAGTGGTAGATTTTTAAATGGCATAAATTAATACTAAGCTTCTATTTGTTAATCTGATTTAGAAAACTGTCAAATCCAGAAGTGCTGTTTTTCCCTATTGTTTTACAAGTCTGTACCCAGGTGTTTGGATGAGATCATGATGTCACATCACTCAAGAGAACTGACTGGCACTGCCATCTGGCTGCTCCTGGATTAGTCATGTCTCACCAAGCAGGTCACAATTTCATTTGTTTTATAACTGAAATAAAAGTCATTAACATTTGAGCAGAACATGTATATATGTATATATAATGTATATATGTATAATATAAATGTATATATATATTTATGCATTTTATATACATACTTATATGTGTATATATACATATATACCTAATGTGTATATATGTATATATACATATATACCTAATGTGTATATATATGTATATATACATATATACCTAATGTGTATATATATGTATATATACATATATACCTAATGTGTATATATATGTATATATACATATATACCTAATGTGTATATATATGTATATATACATATATACCTAATGTGTATATATATGTATATATACATATATACCTAATGTGTATATATATGTATATATACATATATACCTAATGTGTATATATGTATATATACATATATACCTAATGTGTATATATGTATATATACATATATACCTAATGTGTATATATATGTATATATACATATATACCTAATGTGTATATATATGTATATATACATATATACCTAATGTGTATATATATGTATATATACATATATACCTAATGTGTATATATATGTATATATACATATATACCTAATGTGTATATATGTATATATACATATATACCTAATGTGTATATATATGTATACATACATATATACCTAATGTGTATATATGTATATATACATATATACCTAATGTGTATATATGTATATATACATATATACCTAATGTGTATATATGTATATATACATATATACCTAATGTGTATATATATGTATATATACACATATAAGTATATACATAAAATGCAGAAATATAGGTGTATATGTAACCTGTAATGTATCCATCAGAACCCAAGGAAAGCTTTCATTAAGAAAAAGATTTGGGAGATAGTTAGTTACAATTGGACACACTTAAATTGTTTCTCTTAGAAATATGTATTCCTTGTTATTTTTTTTAATCTTCTTACTTTCAGTGTGTTTTACTCTCCTAAAAATCTAATTATCTAGTGTGTTTCACTTTCACAGAAAAAAAGCAAATATTCTGAGCCCCCATCTCAGAAAACCAGAGCAGGGGCTGGTGGTTTCAGGGTTTTTTACTCCCTTGAGTTTACAAGAAGGGATAATGAAGACATAATGCACATAAGGCAGGCCTCAGGGAGGCTCTGCCATAACACCAAACTTGCCACTGAAAATCTTTAAAAGTTTGTGGCCAGTATCAGATACCCAAGATGAAATTAACCAAGAGTATTTTATTCCCTTCCATCCTGTAAAATTTATTAAGCATCTAGATCTAATATGTGCCAGGCACTCTGCCAGGCTCTGTCACATAAAATAGCTCATTTAATCTTCACAACATATTATAAGTGGTATTATTAACGTTACAAGGTGAGCAAAGAGATTCTTCAAGGTTAGAAGACTTGCCCAAAATCACACAGTAATGGTTCAGGCATTTACCTCAAGGCTACTGTTATGAAAGCCAGTGTTCTTTCCTTTCTTTTATAATTGATTGACCATAGAATAATCTAACAGCATCAGGGTTGATACAAAAAGAATGGCCTATCCACGGACAGGAAGAAAATATTTGCAATAAACATATCTAACAAAGAACTCATATGGAGAATATAAAAAGAGCTTCTATAAATCAAGCAAGTCATATGGAGAATATATAAGGAGCTTCTACAAATCAATAGGACAAAGATACACAAGAAAATAGAAGAATGGATGAAAGATTTGAATGAGTACTTCACAAAACAGAATATCCAAATGTTTAATAAGCATATATAAAAGCATTCATTCATTAGTCATCATGGAAATGCAAATGAAGACTGTGATGAAATAATATACACACACCAGAGTAGCTAACATAAAGAAGACTAAGTGGGTGAGGGTACACAGCAGTAACTCACTGCTGGTAGAGTGTAAATTGGTATAACACCTATGGAAAACCATTTGGCAGTAGCTACTAAAAGTAAACATGTAAAAGGCCTATGACTTAGCAAATCTATGCCTAAGTATAAAACCAAGAGAAATGTGTAGATACGTGTACCAAAAGATATGTTCAAGTGCATTCATAGCAGCACGATTTGTAATAGCCAAAAATTAAAAACTGTCTAAAAGCCCAGAACGTTTGGTCCATTGAATTAAGTGGTATGCTTTACTGAATATTACCTACACATACATTAACTAAAACATGTCTTTAGTTGATTTATCCTGAATAATCTGCCTACAATTTATTTTCAAATGATATAAAATTCACTTCCCTAAAACAGAGGTTTGTTGTGTCTAAGTTTTAATATTCGTGTGTGTATAATACATATGTGTATATGCATATGTTCAATTACACACACTCATATACACACATGTATTATATATACACGTGTATATGTATGTCTATGTGTGTGTAATTGAACACACACATATATATGTATTATTCCCACAAATATTACATTGAACATACACACATATATATACATATGTATTATACACAGAGACACACGTGTGTGTGTGCATGTGTGTATGTAATTGAACATAAGTATGTATATACATACAACTCAGGAAATAAGAAGAAAAATATAATTTAATTTTGTGCAACGAAATTTTGTGTAAGGTTTTGTGCAAAAAAATTAATTCAAAAACTCACATTTTATATAATAAAGATCTAAAAAGAAATCACAGTGCTTGTATTTTTAAACCAAGGGGGCTACTGACTTGACGTTTTTAAAATAAAGGAGCAGTTGTTCCAGATTGGAATTTTTATAGTTAATATGTAGGCAGTTAATATGTAGGCTGAAAAAAAATCTTTTTAGAAATTCCATTCTTGTCGATTCCACTAAGACGAAGGAAGAAACTGTTTTCTATCACTTCTTTTTGAAAAAAAATGAAAAGAACAGTTTGATTATTTTCTTCTGTAATCTCTAGAGAAGGCTTGCATAGAACAGGCATTAATTAAACCATGATAATGTGGCTCAAAACAAAATGCTTGCTATTTAATAGTAAGAGCTGTTTTCATAATTACATATGTGGACTAGTTTATCTATATCCTCATTACCTCACAGTTAGTTAATTTTAGCTTAATTGGAGTGCCAGGTAAGGTGGTTCATAGTTCTGAATACTAAAGAAGTACCAGAACACATTATTTTCCAATCATCCCAGTGAGCATCAGACATCACAATTTTAATACTACTTTTGAGTAACCAAAAAGACTGAGATTTGTGAATAAATAATTCCTAATTGATCTCTCTAGTCTGGGTCTGTGGTTTACTGTAACAGAAAGAATATTGATCTAAATGTCAGGTCGGGGGAGGTGGCTCATGCCTGTAATCCCAGAACTTTGGGAGGCCAAGTTGGTCGGCTCACCTGAGGTCAGGAGTTCGAGACCAGCCTGGCCAACATGGCGGAACCCCCCCATCTCCACTAAAAATACAAAAACTAGCCAGGTGTGGTGGTGCACACCTGTAGTCCCAGCTACTCAGGGGGCTGAGGCAGGAGAATCACTCAGGAGGCAGAGGTTGAAGTGATCCCAGATGGCGCCACTGCACTCCAGCCTGGGTGATAGAGTGGGACTTTGTCTAAAAAAAAAAAAAAAAAAAAAAAAAAAAAAAAAAGCAGGAACCTGATTTCAAACTGGCTGTAGCCAAGACAATTTATCTGAGTCTCCATTTCCTTACCTATCAATAAAGGACCCGGAAGACATTGGGTCTCTGGAAGCAACACAATTGTGTTTTGCTTTTCTGACCAGTTCAGCACTGGTCAGACAAGAAGAAAGCCTTAGGTACCCTTGATTCTTTCATCTGCATAGGTCTAGCAGCCCTGAGTCCTCTACTTACCTAGCTCAGTGGATTAACCTTTTGTGTTGTCAAACACAGTGATGTCTGCAGCTGCTAAATGATTGCCCCTTGTAAGCTACGACACTCCTGATGACTTCTACTCATCTAGTGGGTTTACACTTACTTGTGTTTGTTCCCAAACTTAATTATGCAGGTCTTATACATAATTGTAATTATGTTATTGAATTAAATAGTATGTAAACAAATAATATGAGCATGTAAGGAAAATAATTGTTACTATGACTAAGTTGAATGCTCTGAGGGAATTAGTAAAAGTGAGTCTCTAAAATTGCTCTTTATTTAGATGTGGCAACACAAGTGTAAAATAGTGTTTAAAATCTGAAAACATTATGCACTCAGCCTTGCATTCCATATTTAGGTTCTCAATCCATTTAAAGAAACTCAAGAATCTCAAGGTTTGAGAGGTTGTGCAGTACTCAATGGGCATACACACTCCAATTAATACAACTGTAGAATATATTTAATAATTGAACAATTGTATTAATAACAAAAAAAATTCTCTTTCCATTTATGTGTATGATTTTTTTCTGAAGAAGCTACTCAGTTGTTAGAACATATATCTTTATTAAGTTTGGGAGCCAAACTACCTGATCAACAGTGCTGTTAGCTATTTCTTTTGGCTTAGGAGCACTGTGAAAAAAAGTACTAGGGGACAACAAGCATTCTGTGAACTGAGAAAGTTTGGGAACTTCTCCACTGCAGGATGGCAGAGGTACAAGACAGAAGGAACCCATCTAACACCTGTATTGGTTGTTCTGGAAATTTTTTGTTATAGCAGCTAATGTTACCTTAGCATCTAATGTTGCCTAGAGCAGCTAATGTTACCTGTAGCAGCTAATGTCACTAATACAATGATTTAAATTAATACAATAAATTGAATTTCTATTCGAAGGCAATCCTTAGGATGGAGCTGTGATTAAAGATGATCAATTAGGAATTACAATTTATTCACAAATCTTAGTCTTTTTGGTTACTTGAAGGTAGTATTAAAGTTGTAATTTCTGATGCTTGCTGGGATATTTGGAAAATAATGTGTGACATAGTGCAGAACCAGAGGATGGGGAGCTCAGGATTAGGAAGCAGTTGCTCCAAGGATGTGACTAAGTCTCAAGCCTGTCTCTCACTAGCTCTAAAATCCATACAGATCACTTCGCACTACTGAGCACTGATTTACATATCTGCAAAAGAAGGCATTCATCTATTGCTAGCATCTCTTCCAGGCCTAACACTGTATGTATCTAAACATAAATTGAGCCTGCACCCTGCTTCCCAAGGCTCTCACATGACTTCTTTCTAATCTGGCTCCTATTTCTTCCCTCTCACTTCTTCACAAGAGTCACCTTGCTTTTCTTTTCCTTACAGCTGGTACAACTACTGTATTTCTTAAGTTTCTGTCCAACCAAAACTAGGTATAGAATGGAAAGCCACCCCTAGTACTCTACATTTATGTGATCCAGGAAACTAAGTATACATTTCGAGAGATTTTGTACTAACATCATTGGAATTTAAATCAGGGATAAACCAAAGCAACAAAGAAAATTCACAATGTTTTCAAATACTGTATTACAAATTGTAAAACAATATGGTTTTTGTTACTTTGCCATAAATCCCATTCCTTACTGGCCATTCTTCACTATTACCCTGGAGAAGGGAACAGTCAGAAAAGTAGATGCCGCATCTGGAGAAAAGAAGACATAATGTGGAAAAACTCTTGAAGAAAGTCAGCTGAAGAAGAAAGTCCATACTTCTGACCCCCAGAGAAGCATAGAGGGGAGGAGAAAAGTCAGAAGGAGGCACAGGTGAAAAGATGTGTGTGTTTTGACTTTCCCTCTGGGCTAAGGACTGAGTGAAAGGAGAGAGCATATGGGATAGGCTAAGGGACAAAACAGAAATAGGAGGAGCTTTTGCTCTACTTTACAGGGCTCTGAAAGGAGACTGCATTATGGATTGACATCAACCAGGGTGGCTGTAGCAGAGGACCATAGGTGAAGTGGCAAGGGTGGGCAAGGGAGGATCTTAGAGCCTTCACTGGTGCTCAAGTATCCAGAAAGAGATGCAAAACATCCTACATATCTCTTGAACAATGTGGAAAGGAGTTTATAGGACTAGCTTTCCAGATGTTCTCTGGGCAAGAAGACCCTGTAACCCCAGGCTGATGGGAGGCATCAAAGCCAGGCCTCAGAGCTGACATGGGCTTAGTTAGTGGTGGTGAAGCCTCAGGTTTGATGCCTAAAGAGCAACAAATGAGTTCACCAGTCACAGATGTGAACACCAGAAAAAGATCATCTCTTCACAGGCCAGAGAATTCAGAGGACATTACAAAATAATAGCTCCTTTGCCTGCTACCTGAAGTCTTACAAGCCATTCTCTCCCAGTAAGATGTTACCTTGGAAAAATGCAAAGGGAGGAGAAAATCCTTTTAAAATGAGGTTTTATTTAACAAGTGACAGAAAGACAAATATTTAACAACATTATTTAAGTAAACAAATCAGATTCGATGTATTGGATTTGACCAATACTTTTTCTCCCTTACTCCATTACTACCTCCATAAGGAACACTAGACCAGTTATGAAAAATAAAGATGGTATTTTTTTTGCACATCTGAATATAGCATACAATATTTTAACTATCCTACACTGACACTAATCAACATGCTGTGCCAGATACTATGCTAAGTACTTTGATTAGGGTCCTTTTCTTTTTTTTTCTTTTTTTTTTTTTTTTTTGAGACAGAGTCTTGCTCTGTCACCCATGCTGGAGTGCAACGGTGCAATCTCGGCTCACTGCAACCTCTGCCTCCCAGGTTCAAGCAATTCTTCTGCCTCAGCCTCCTGAGTAGCTGGGACTACAGGTGCATGCCACCACTCCCAGCTAATTTTTGTATTTTTACTAGAGACAGGGTTTCACCATATTGGCCAGGCTGGTCTCAAACTCCCGACCTCGTGATCTGCCTGCCTCTGTCTCCCAAAGTGCTGGGATTACAGGTGTGAGCCACCACGCCTGGCCTATTAGGGTCCTTTTCTTAATCAATGGAAGTCCGATGGCCTTTAATCTCCTCTTCCTTGAAATCAAGCCTCTTCTCTCCCCATCCTCTGGTTCTGCACAATGTCACACAGGAACCCTCTTCCATGGAGGTTCCATTCTCTAATACAATGTTTTCCCAACTTCACTGGTGATAAAAAGTCTTCTCTGATGCTTCTTCAAACTAGGGCTTCTTAGACCACTCAGTGACAGACCCTGACTCAGAGTGCCTGGAATGGGGTCCAGGTATTTTTAACAAGTACCCCAAGTGACCCATCACCAGAGAAATTTAGAAAAACCTTGTTCTATCATCTAATCCATAAATTGCAATCTGTCCTTACAATCATCTACATTTCAGTAAGATGGTGCCACCGTTGATCCTGATGCATAAGCCAAAGTCTTAGAAATGCTGCATTCTCCCTCGCTCCTATATACAATGCACTACCCACACCTTTGATCCTGTCATCAATTTATATCTCAAATAATCAATTTCTTGCCTTCTACTCTGTTAACACCATCATCTTCTAGCCAAAATTTCGACAACTCTTGACAATGTGTATGCTTCTACTCTTCTGCTTTTTCACTATATTCCATATTTAGTAGCCAGAGTCATCTTCTTAAAACATAAATCAAATTTTGTCAAGCTCATGTTACAGTTCTGATTAAATCTTTTAAGGGATTATACTTCAGGTAGAACTCAAACTTCTTTCTCGTGGTTCACAGATCCTGCATGTTCTGGCCTTGACTGCCTCACCAGCTTCCCTCAAGCCCTTTTTCCTCCCCACTCATCATCCCATCCACACTGGTTTTCTTTGAGGGTTCCCAACACAACAGGCTCTTGCTTGACTCATGGCTTTTTGTACAAACTCCTTTTTCCCCTACATATGGCATTGTTTGGATGACTAGTTGCTGCTCATCCTTTGGCTCTCACCTTCAATTTCACTTCCTGGGGGAAGACTGCCCTGCCACCCTATAAAAAGTAGACTGTTATCTATCACCCTATAAATAGTAGAATTGTCTTCTCAATCTCAGGCTATTGTTCTTATTCTTCATAACACTTATCACAATTTATAAATATTTATGTTTGTTTTGTCTTATGTGCATTCATTTATTCACTTTTTGCTTTCCAAATAAAATGAGAACTCCATGAATATAAAGCCTGCATCATTTGTGCACAATATAGCACATGGCTCTCCGTAAATATCTGTTGAATTAATGAATAAATAAATAAAACATGGAATCATTAGACCTTTGAGCTGTCTTTATGTTTGTGAGAAATGGAATCCCTTTTCAAACTTCTCCCTGGAAAACACAATTTGTAGAATTTTCTCACAGACATGATAGAAAAAAAAAAGTATAAATATACCAATTCTCCAAAGTGAATAAAATCAGAATAAAGGGGAGGTGGGCAGAACAAAAGGAATCTAGGTAACTTTCTAGAAAAAGCAATATTCTGGCTCCTTAAAAACTTGCAAGATAATCCACATTCTGTTCTCAAATTCTAATTACCACCATACATGAAGATTCTAATCCATAGAATTATGTCTATAGGTCTATTTCATAACAATTGAGTTAAAACACACAAACCCCCATTTGCTATTCTTTTCCTCTGTTCTCTGAGAGACGCACCACAAAAGGGAATTGTTTTATGTTCATATCTATGTATCAATAATTCTATGGTAAGTTGCTTCATCTAGAATTTTGAAAAGTCATGTTTATTCCCCCCTTAGGGAAACTGTCATAATTGAACATCACTTTCAGGAGTTTGTGACCATCCATGATGGTCTTTATACTCAGACTTTATTTTTACTGCTTCTGAGCACATATCATGGTTGGTCTTCTGAGTTCCATAAGATTCTTTTTCTGTCACTGTTTAAATTCACTACCATAAGGCTTTTTATTAATTTTTTGTGGCTTTGCCTTTTTCATGCTTCTTAAAATTAAATTGTTTAGTACCATTTTATATACAACTTGAAAGCTTAAGTGAATTACTTTCAAAGAGTTCATGGACTTTTTGAAACACTTGGACTATACAAGGAACAATCTTATTTCACACATTTAAAGGGTCATATTCGAGAAAGAGTAAATTACATCCTCGCTTAGTGTCAAAAGATAATTGGAAAAATCTCTTCATTTCCATTTTTTGATCATGAATTTTCTCTTTCTCTGCCAATGAAGGATTCTGAAATTGTCCTATCACCACGATGGTTGGTTGATGGCTATTTCCAGATTCCTTCTTTGACATTAATGAATGTGCCGTAGTTCTTCAAAATGCTGTTATTTATGGTTTATCGTGTGGTGTTAAATCCTTTCTAACCTGACACCTCTAGGACATATATTATTCCTCCAGCTGTATTTACTCTCTAAAATGAGATTTGGGATGAGTTACTGATCTTCACAATCCAATGAAATGACTTCATCTACTGAAATTTTATTCACCTGGACTGACAAAGGAGTTGGGCTTTCACTAACTGAAGAGTGGTCTTTAAATGACACTAGTATCTAACGGCACTAGTGGTATCCACTGAAAATTGACATTCAAAAGAGGATCATTTCAATAGCGTTTACAATTTACAAATTTGAGGATATGATTCATTTCATAAAATGTACACTTGAGAAAAATAAAACCTCATTAAGGAGTAAATGCTGGTCAATTAGCCTTACTCGCTACTTAGATTTTTCCACATACTTAGAGTCAAAGACCTGCCAGTTAGGAAAAGTGGAAAATAGTCATTTTCATATATTTATAGATGCCAAAGTAAAATATTTAAATACATTTGGTGACTTTGTTGATAACAGGTATCAAAAATGATATATTTTTACTTACTCTTCACACCAACAATTCCAAAGATGTCAAAGTGGACTTCTAAGAAAAGATTTCACTATGTGAATGTTTACTCCCACTTAAAATAGTGAAAAATCAGTAACCTCTTTACTAAGCAAAAAACAGGAATTTAGCTAAATAAATCACAATACATCCATGGGATGGAAAACTATGAAGTCATCAAAAAGATGTGGTGGAATATGCAATGATACAGAAAGATCTTAACATAGTTATTCAGGAAGTATGTTATGTTCTAGACACTGTGTTTAGTATGTTCTAGACACTGTGCTGTGCTGGGTCCTAGATTCTCAATGATGATGAAGACAGAACTCCTGACCTGGAGATTAAAAAAAATACAAGAAATACAAGAAAAAGGCATCTGTTTAGTAAATTTTAATTTTTTATATCCTTTTATATAAATACACACTGTTAAACAAAAGTATGGGAGGCCATTGTTTTGGACACAGCTCCTACACTAGGCCCCTACAGATCAGACCAAACCAAAATGGAACACTCATGCTAAATGCCACATAATCAAACTGAAACTTTAAGAAAGGAGATAGATTCCCAAACAGCACAGGTTTTCCGGATAAACAGGAGATTCCAGTCTACCTGGGTCAGTGTAATAAGAAAGTCCTCTCTGCTTTAACATCCTCCCTCAAAAAAAAAAAAAGCAACTGAAGTAACCTAACATTAACCAATTTGCTTTTTTTCTATTGCTCTGTTTCCTTGCTTCCACCTTACAAAACCCACCTTACAAAACCCACGGCTCTCCATTGCCCAGTCATATCTCTCATTCAGTTTTGTAGAATGAAGCTTGCTCCAATTCATGAATCACAAATAGAAGCCAATTAGATTTAAAACTAAATTTGTTGTAATTTTGTCTTTTGACAACATATAAAATCACTGGTGAACACATTATTCTTGATGATAGAACTGCAAAATTTTTCTTCCTTTTGCTACATTTGCTAAAATAATGATGCTTTTTTTTTTTTTGAGACAGAGTTTCACTATCGTTGCCCAGGCTGGAGTGCAATGGCATGATCTCGGCTCACCGCAACCTCCAACTCCCAGATTCAAATGATTCTCCTGCCTCAGCCTCCTGAGTAGCTGGGATTACAGGCATGCCCCCCTACACCTGGCTAATTTTGTATTTTTAGTAGAAACGGGTTTCTCCATGTTGGTCAGGCTGGTCTCGAACTCCCAACCTCAGGTGATTCACCCACCTCGGTCTCCCAAAGTGTTGGGATTACAGGCGTGAGCCACCGTGGCCGGCCGCTTTACTTTTATTAAAAGGATATAATTTTCAGCAAAATGTAACAAATCTATATATCATGGTCATTGTATCACTTGAGAATGTTGAAACTATAAATGCTAAATAAGTAGATGCCAAGATATTCACAGCATCTAAGGCATAATGTGATTAAAAACAAGAAAAGTGTTCACTTCTCTTCAGCCAGTCATCTACCTTCATTGAGTGCTTGTATGCAAAGCATCAGAGAAAATACTATCGTTTACTTTCTAGCTTATTCTCCCTTTTATAAAATGCTTTGAATGTGAAGCAAAAATTGGGAGATAGTGCATGATCATAACTTAAGCTGAAGGGCATATATAAGCAGTAATTTTAATTATTATCTTCTAATGATGAATACACTTGCTCACACCCCATAAAAATATTTGGCCACCAACCGATGTGACTTCAGGGTAAGTTGATGTTCGCTTCACTCCCACATGGATTTTATTAAGATTCATTAAGGTATCTTGTTAACTACACCTTCTCATTTACTGTGAGATGTATTTTTTTCCTTTCATAAATCCGAAGTGAATTCAAATGAATAAAATAATGTAAATTAAAGAGCTTGGATGTTTGGTAAAACCTAAGGGAGATTATATTTATTGTGTGGCATAACGCTGACTATAATGAAGACAAGACTTTCTCCCTAGTGTTCATTTTGTGTGTTAAATGTTTTAATCATTTTGAGCATAAGGGCTTTCCTTCATTATTATTGCAATGCAGGGAAGGTCTAAGGTTGTGTTTCTTATACAATCAATGATAAGAGCAATTTACATTTAGAAAATGATTTGTATTCAGATGTTTCCAAAGCTCTTTGTATGCATTTTTTGGTTGCTCTTGCCTGTTTGTTTATTATAAACTTCTTCCACCTGACAATTTAAATATAAGGTCACAGTTTTATGAACCCCACTGGCTGGCTGTATTAGATTTTTAAATATCAGGACTCAGTGTGTAGGTTGGGATGAGGCTGGGAGGTTGGGAGAAGTATGCTTAAGCTGTAGTTTAATGTTGCATTTTTTGTTTTTATTCTTTTGTGTTCCAAGAAATATTTATGAAGTTTTTTGCTTCAGTAAAGATTGTTGTTTAAAGCTTTTTAATTCTTTATTTATTTGTTTAAAGCCACTCTAACTTTGGGGGCACAGTAGTTTTAAAAAGCCTGAAGGCACATTGAGTTTGGTTTAAATCCTAACTCTTTGATCTTGAGCAAGTTATTTAATCCAGGTCTAGATTTTTCATGGCTAACAGAGGAACTGAATACCTACTTCACAGGGTTGTCATTTGGAATGAATAAGACAATGCACAGAAAGTGTCTGGTGTTTAATTGATGATAGTTATTGGCAGCATCACCCATTGCTTAGTGTGAAATCATGCTATTATAGAAATAAAGACAATGGCAGACAGTATCAATCTATTTTCAATGATTATTTTATTACCTCACTGAATCTGAATTTCACCCTAAAACTTAAAAAAATACATTCTCCAGAGAGAAAAAATAAACTTAGTAATCCCAGCCTGTGCTTGCTTTGGGGACAACCAATAACGGGGTAACAATTAAGTGATTCTTGGTGATCATTCCTTATGAAATTTTATGTCAACCAAAAATGATATGCTAGGCAAGGGAGTCTAGCCAGCCTGCACCATCTCACCCAGTATGACTCCCACTCTGCTCGGGGATGGAGGATTAGAAAATACAAAACAGAATATTCTGAGATTTCTTCCAGTGATGAACATATATTGCTCTTGAAATAAGAAAACAATTGTTTTTAAAAACTAAGATAATCTTCCAAAAAAAAAAAAAAAAAAACTAGAGTCCCATCTATGCAAGCTCTTTTCCAAGCAGAAAATTAACTATGAATCAAAAATAGCAAAAACAATAATAATAGCTGTCAGTTTAATAGAACACTAACTATATGTCACGCATGTTTGTTGTGCTCAATTCCTGACCTAGATTATCTCAACTGACCTTCACTATAAGTGTGAGTTAGAGACCATAATTATACCCATGTTACAGATGGAAAAACAGAATTTGAGAGGTAAAGTACCCAAGTCTTCTTATTCCAGAATCCCTGTCTCTTTCATATAGACCCTCAGCTGTCTTGGCAGAGCCAACATGTTGAGGATAAAGTATTCAACTTGACAAATTCCCCAGTACCAGATCCAGAGGAGCACAATGAACCCCATGTTCTTCTTATCCATCTGTAAGGATAAGGATTCTAATGTAAAGTCCTGTCCAGGACCATCTTATGACCCACAATCAGTAGCACCTCCGGAAAAAGGAATTCAGTATTTATTACCTAGCTGAATATTCTAAGTACTTTATTTGCCTTATGTCCTGTATTTCTCAAAAAAAAAAACCTATAAAACATGAATTATTATTATTATCCTCATTGGAGGAAACTAAGATTTAGAAAGATTAAGTAACTTCCCCAAGGTGACATAGCTAATGAGAGATGAGATGGAGCTGGCTTTCAAATCCAACCCCTCATGCCAAAGTCAGTGCTTCAGAACAGCACATCCTGCAAATACCTGTATATTGGTGATACTTAAGTGCAAGACCTGTTTTGTTTTTGTTTTGTTTTGTTTTGAGATGGAGTCACGCTCTGTTGCCAGGCTGGAGTGCAGTGGTGTGATCTCGGCTCACTGCCACCTCCGCCTCCCAGGTTCAAGCGATTCTCCTGCCTTAGCTTCCCAAGTAGCTAGGACTATAGGTGCTCACCACCACGCCCAGCTAATTTTTGTATTTTTAGTAGAGACAGTGTTTCACCATGTTGGCCAGGATGGTCTTGATCTCTTGACCTCGTGATCCGCCCACCTCGGCCTCCCAAGGGACCTGTGTTTTTAATGTTTGTATCCCTAGATCCTATAACAGGGCCAGACATAGAGTCAGTATCAATAATAATTGTAGACACCTAAAAAATGCTTACTTTGGGCCAGGCACTCAAAGCACTTTATACATATACAAAGTGATGTCAACTTATTTAATCCAGGCAATAACCCTATAAGGAAGATACTGTTATTATCTCACTTTCAGGTGAAAAAACTGATACATGAGTAAGAAATGGAAGAAGAGAAGGAAGAAAGGGATGGAGGGAGGGGAGAGAGAAGGAGGAAAGGAAGACTATTTCAGAATATAGAATTTGGCCTCTCTGAAAAGATTCCTTTTGTGACCCTGCTTGTCTGCGAAGCCCAAACATGTGCCATACAAAATAGATCCCATTGCTTCAGCTCTGCCTGGTGCAGAGACAATTAATGATTTTGTATGATTCAGAGTTTACATCCCACTTGCATCATTAGTCACTGTTCTGATTTAAAATGTCACCAAAACTCGATGGCTTTTCTGGGCATATAGGCACAGCTGTGCCATTCTGTTTCTGTGATTTTTGAGGTTGTTTATATGACATGCTGCACAATCACTCTGTAGGTAAAATCTCAACAAAGCTGTCTGAATGTCATCTCTAAAAAAGACCAAAGTTGGCAGCTGTAATGACACAAGGGACAGCATTCTAGAGACAAGCAGGCAAGAAGTACTGGAAGCAAAAGAGCAGAGACAACCAGGGAGCAGAATCCATCCAGGTGGAAGCCTGGGTCCCAGCAAGTCAGAGAACCTTGAAAAGGGATTAGACAGGAAGGTTGAACTAAAAAGTTTGCCAAGCAGGCTGTGGTTCCCCAGTCGTAGAGCTGCTGTTCAGGGTAAGATCTGCAGTCCCTGGGAGTCGGGAAAAACTGGAAGGCGAAGTGGGAAGTTGGCCCCAAGTACAGGCAGGAACCCAGATCCTCATTTTGGAGTACAAAATCAAGCCAAAATTGTCCATAATCTCCATTTGATCTTAGTCACTTAAACTAATGAGCTAATTGGGGCTCCTCAAATTCTTCTAACTATGAGATTAGTCCCAGAAGGTAGTGTAGGCTGGATTTTTGATGTGCATGTTTACTTTGGGTTCAGGTATCTTATTTATGTCTACTTGCTTTTCAGTTGATTCTCATGGCTCTTTCAGTTAGCATATGGCATCTTTTGCAAATGATAATCATGCTGTCTCCACTTTCCCAATTATTATAACCTCCTTTCCTCCTCCTCTTTGCATTGTATAGAGCTTCAAGAACAGACAGAGCCATGTTCCCTCACTCAAAACTCTTGGGACCAGATATGTTTTCGAATTAAGAATTTTTAAAATTTTAAATGTATTAATACTATTTCTCATATAAGGTATAAAGCAGGGCTCCTTAACCAAAGATATTAACATTTCTTTAATAAAAATAAAATGAATGTTCTAGGGATGAATAAACACTCTATAGCACCTCATACCAATTTAGGGCAGGTTTTGCTGCCAAATCAGTTATTGAAAAAAAAAATTCTGGTTTTCAGAGCATTGAGATTTCATAATTGCAGATAGGCAACTGTGAATACAACAAAGGAAGAAACAGTGGCTATAATGGGCATCTTTTTTGAAAAGAGAAAAACAGATGATACTGGAGACTGTTTACATGTAGAGGAAGGAAATGCTAAAAGAGAATGAAATTGTATGGACAAAGGAGAAGGGAAGACTGAGGCAGCATTTCCCAAAAGGGTGGAAACACACAGACCCCCAGAGCCCACACATTCTGGACAAATGAAAGAGGAGTCCTAGCTTTGTGTTAAAATGACAAATTATAGGTGTATATAGGTATGAGGTACATATGTTATGATTTTTTATTACAATCTTCAATGGTTAAATCAAGCTAATGAACATATTCCCCACCTCAAATATTTTACATTTTTATACCAACATTGAAATTATTCTTTTAGTGAAATTTAAATGTACAGTGCTCAATTGTTAATTATATTCACCATGCTGTGTATTAATCTCAAAAAAGGAAAACTGTAAAAATCAAACTTATTTTGAACCTGAGGCTTTGTACACTTTGGCCATCATGCCCCCATTCTCCCCACCCCCAGCCTCTGGTAATAACCTTTCTACTCTCTGTTTTTGTGAATTCCACTGTTTCAGATTCCACATATAAATGAGAACACGAGGTGTCTGTCATTGTGTGTTTGGCTTTTTTCACTTCGTATGATGTTTGCCAATTCCATCCATGTTGTCACACATGACAGAATTCCATCATTTTTAAAGATGGAATAGTATTTCATTGTGTATATCTACATTTTCTTTATTCATTCATCCCTTTATGGATACTTAGGTTACTTTTGTATCTTGGCTATTGTGAATGGTGCTGCAATGAACATGGGAGTGCAGACATCTGTTTGACATACTGATTTCAAACCTTTTGGGTAAATACCCAGAAGTAGGATTTCTGGGCCATACAGTAATTCTATTTTTAGTTTTCTCGGGAACCTCCATATTGTTTTCCATAATGATTGTACTAATTTACATTCACACTACAGTCTTTTCTTACATCCAAGCTAACATTTGTTTTCTTTTGTATTTTTGATAACCATTCTAATACATGTGAGGTGATATCTCATAGTGGTTTTAATTTGTATCTCCCTAATCATTAGTAGTGTTTAATATTTTTTCATATTTGTATGTCTTCTTTTGAGAAATGTCTATTAGGTCCCTTTCCCATTTCTTATTTTTTTATTTCTTTTATTTTAGATCCAAGAGGTACATTTGTAGGTTTGTTACATGAGTATATTGCATGACACTGAGGTTTGGGCTTCTAATGGTCCCATAGGCCAAGTAGTGAAAATAGTACCCAATAGGTAGTTTTTCAACCCTTACCCCCTTCATTCTCCCCCTTTGGAGTCCCCAGTGTCTATTTTTCCCATATTTTTGTCTGTGTGTACTCAATGTTTAGCTCCCACTTATAAGTGAGAACATGCAGTATTTGGTTTTCTATTTCGGTGTTAATTCACCTAGGATACTGTCTTGCCCATTTCTTAATCAGGTTGTTTTCTTTCTATAGAGTTGTTTGAGTTCCGTATATGTTTAGATATTAGTCTCTTACACTAATTGGGATGTATGAGTTGCAAACATTTTCTCCCAATTGGTAGGCTGTCTCTCCACTCTGTTAATTGTTTTCTTTGATGTAGAGAAGTATTTTATTTTGATGTAATCCCATTTGTCTAGCTTTGCTTTTGTTGCTTACATTTTTGTGGCTGAAGCTAAAAAAATCATTGTCCAAACCAATGTTGTGTAGGTTTTCCCTTGTTTTCTCCTAGTAGGTTTACAGTTTCAGGTCTTATGTTGAAGTTTTTAACTCATTTTGAATTGATGTTTATATATGTAGTGTGAGATAAGAGTCCAATTTCATTCTTTTGTATATGGATATTGAGTTTTCCCAACACCATTCATTCAAGAGACTGTCCTTTTTCCATTATATATTCTTTGTCCCTTTGATCAATTGACTGTAGATACTTGGGTTCTTTTCTGAGCTTTCTATTCTGTCCCATTGGTTGCTGTGTCTATTTTTATGCCAGTACCATGCTGTTTTAACCAATTCTTCACAAACGATTCCAAAATATCTAAGACAGTGAAACAATTCCAAACTCTTTTTATCAGGCCAGCATTACCAAAGCCAGGCAAGAACGTCACAGAAAAACTAAAACTATGGACCAATATCCCTAATGAACATAGATGCAAAAATTCTCAACAAAATACTAGCGAACAGAATTAAACAATACATTTAAAGGATCATTCACCACAATCAAGTGGGATTTACCCCTAGGACACAAGGATGGTTCAATATTTGTAAATCAATAAACATGATATTCTATATTAACACAATGAAGGACAAAAATTATATGATTATACTATTAGATGCAGAAAAAGTATTTGACAAAATATTAAAAGTAAATGACAAAAACAACAATTACTTTTGCACCAACCTAATATAATATACTTTCATGATTAAAAACTCTCTCAACAAATTAGTTATAAAATAAATGTACCTCAAACAATAAAGGCTATATACGACAAATCCATAGCCAACATCATACTCAACAGGGAAAAGTTGAAAGCTTTTCCTCTAAGATCTGGAACAAGACAACAATGCTCACTCTCACCACTCCTATTCAAGACTGTGCTACAGGTCCTAGCCAGAGCAATAGGCAGGAGACAGAAACAAGAGTCATTCCAACAGAAAAGGTATAAGTTAAATGTCCTTGTTTACTGAGGACATGAGCTTATATATAGAAAACCCTAAAGATTCCACCAAAAGACTGTTAGAACTGATAAATTTAGTAAAGTTGCAGGATACAAAATCAACACACAAAAATCAATCAGTGTTTTTCTAAAATACCAATGAACTTTCTAAAAAGAAATCAAGAGAACAATTCCATTTACAATAGCTACAAAAAAATACTTGGGGAGGCCAAGGTGGGCAGATCACGAGGTCAGGAGATCGAGACCATCCTGGCTAACACGGTGAAACCCAGTCTCTACTAAAAATACAAAAAATTAGCCTTGCGCAGTGGTGGGCGCCTGTAATCCCAGCTACTCAGGAGGCTGAGGCAGGAGAATGGCATGAACCCGGGAAGCGGAGCTTGCAGTGAGCCGAGATAGCACCACTGCAGTCCGGCCTGGGCAACAGAGCGAAACTCCATCTCAAAAAAAAAAAAAAAAAAAGAAAAAAAAACTTGGGAAAATAAATTTAACCAAGGAGGTGAAAGACCTGTGCACTGAAAACTATAAAACATTTATAAAAGAAATTGAAGAAGGCACAAATAAATGAAATGATATTTTATAGTCATGGTTTGGAAGAATTAATATTGTTAACATGTCCATTCTACCCAAAGAAATCTACAGATTTAATGCAATCCCTGTCAAAATTTCAATGTCATTTTTCACAGATATCGGAAAAAACAATCCTAAAATTCATATAGGACCTTAAAAAACTTGAATACCTAGGATAATGAGCAAAAGGAACATGAGATGGAGGCATTATACTATCTGATTTCAACTATGCTACAAAGAGCCCTCTCATTAGATGTATTTGTAAACCTTTAATTCCTATGACCAGAGAATGCTGAAGTAAACCATACCATAGCACTTATCACACCTATTTGATTTTCATCCTAGGCATAAACTCCACCAGGCCTATATTACAGCTTTATTATATTTGCATCCATGAAAACCCCTAGCATATGATCTATATTTATGCCTGCTTAATAAATCAACTTTCACAGAATTCTTTTGCATATGCACAAGATATTGAGCAGAGAAAGGAGAAAATATTTTCCAGAAGGCAGCAACTTTGTTCATATCATATGCAGCATGGATCAACAATTTCTATGATAGCATTAGCTAACGGAGATGTCTGAAGAGTCAAGGCAGCCTGGGAAGAGTCTATAAAAGATGGAGTATGCCTCTGTTAGTCAACCTAACTGCTGAGAGAGAACAAACACTCGATCTCACTGGTTTATAGGGCCACCACAGAGGAGACTGCTCCTGGAATAAGTGGGCTTTCTCATAAAATAGCACCAGGTCCTCTGAATTCCACATTTAAACACCATTGTAAAATTGCTCCTGTGCAACCCGCTCAGCAGCAATCCCATAACAACACTTAGCCCTTTATTCTTCTCCAGGTTTCTCTCTCCAGTTCAACAATACGCTCACAATCATCCCTTTCTCCTTCTCCTTTTATTTTGCCAATCCTCACTCCTGCTCGGCTTCCACTGCCAATATCCTAGTATCTTCACAGGCAACTTCTCTCCTGCTGGATATACACATCTAGCTTATGTCTAATTAATCCTCACTTTCAATGCGCCCCAAACCAAACTCATGGCATTATCACAATCCCACTCCTCTTCCTGACTTCTAATGTTTATAAACTGTATCACCATTTTTCCACGAACAAACATAAAAATTACCACATTTTCAAACAAACTCAGATTCTAAATACCTCTTCATTTCCATTTATGTTCTCCGAATGCTCTACCCAGACTATTTTAATAGTTTCTGCACGATTGCCTTTTCTCCAATTCATCTATCACATCAATAACAATCTTAACCAGTTAGGAATTGCATTCAGCTGTAAGTAATAAACCTCTGAAAAATAGTGGCTGAAATAAGATTGGTGTTTATTTTTCTTTCTCTTTGGCTCAGGTTCCTTCTAACTTTGTTCTCCACCATATTTAGACAGGGGCTCGTCTCCTTAAACTTTAAAGATGTCTTCTGGAATTCAAACCATTATGTTCATTTCTAGGAAGTAAGAAGAAAGATCTAAGGAAAACGAGGACAAAGAGCTTTCATCTTAGGGAGCTTCCCTAGAAAACCCTCAAGTTACTTCAGTTTAGAATATAGTCTCATGGCCCTCTCACCCACAAAGAAAACTAGCAAATACAGTTTTTAGCTATCATTTGCATTCCCCTACAATTAAGATTGAGGTAGTAAGAAAGGTGAGAAGAATATTGAGTAGGCAATAGTAGATGACCAGTCTAGTATTTCTGAAATAAATTTGTGATGGAAACAAAACATTCAATATAGCCTCATTACCTACCAAATTCATTTCAAATGTGTAGCAAAACGTTCAAATCTTTCTATAATCTAACCCCAACTAAAATTACAAGCCCTTTCTACTACTGTTCCTCAGAGTAACAGTTCTCAGATTTTAAAAGTATATGAGTCCCTAGAATAGCAAGGTTCTTGAACAGTGGTTCTAAAATAGGGCCCATTTTGGCCCTCAGGAGACATTTGATAATGTCTGGAGAATTTTTATCTATTATAACATGGGCAGTTGGGGAGCTGGAAGGTGGGTGCTTCTGGCATCTAGTGGGTAGAGGCCCACGATGCTGCTTAATGTCCTACAATGTACAGAATAGCCTCCTACATCAAAGAATTATCCAATTCAAAATATCAGTATGACTGAGGTGGAGAAATCCTGTTCAACAGGTAGCCTATGCTCCAGAAAAATTGGATTAGGTGTTATTCCAGTATGCCCTGCATTTTCCTATCTTTGCTATGGTACAATTAGTTCTGATCCTCCCTATCAACTGGCTTCTCAGTCATGTATCGAAGCCCTGATGATGTACCAGCTGCCATGAATGCAGCCTAGATCCCCTTCCCATAGGCTCTGTCCCTCCTCCAAATTGCCCTATATGTACTTCTCTTCCCATACACCCTGCCTCCATTTATATTCCAGAAAGAGACTGTTAACTGACCAAGGTGGATACCATTACTTCATTACCTTAGTCATCTCCATGGTAACTAACATAGTGCCTGCACACCATTGAATAGGCCCTCTTTTCCATTTCTATAGCATATATAGATATTTACAATAATTATTGAAAACATATGTATAATATGATAACATATATAAATTCATATTAGGCCTTTTAAAAGTTGCCCTAGTGCAATTAACCATGGCTCTCTCTTTCCTAGTCTCTTCCTTATGCCAAACTCCAAAGCAGATTATAACACCTTCCAGTCCTCATAAAACCCAAATGTGATTTCCACAGACAGATTTTAAATGCAGAAAAAAAGAAAGCTTGAAACCTCTCATTTAGGGCCACTGTCTGGCTTTCATTAAGCCTTCTCTCATTTTTTTCATAGCCAGGGTTCATGGACCAGTGCCTATCTACCTGGTTGGCTGAGATTAAAATGAGTAATAGATCCTCCTTGCCATCAGGATGGCTCCTAATGCATTTTTCATTAAATTGAACTCCCACTTGGGTCCTCTTTCTGAGGTTCAGACAGAGGTAAGAGAGGTATGTGCTTGCTTGTTTACTAGCATTTAAACAGGGTTGCTCTCTTCTCATAAACCATAACAATTTTGTACTTAAGATGATTTCTGGGAAGGTAGAAACATTGTGTTTATTTGACCATCTGTTAAGAGAGTACTGGTTCATTACAATATACTTCCAACTGATTATTTCAGAACTGTAATAAAATATTTTAGGCAAAGGTCAGACAGATAACCTACTTTCCATAAAAAATATACATATACGTACATACCCATCACTCATTCACATACATATATACACGCATATACTTACACATATGCATATTTATATACCAACACACACCCATAATGCAGAAACACATGCATGTATATACATGTACATATACACATCCATAGCCCACACACACATGCATATACACATGCATATATACACACACACATGCATATATACACACCAATGGCCCACATGCATGCACATACACCCATCACACATACGCATATATACACCTACACTCACATGTTTACATACGCTCACACATGCATACACACACATACCAATCACACATATACCTGTACATACTCACATATGTACACATCCATATGCCCCCATACACACATATGTACATAAACATAGACACCTATAGTGGGCTGAAAAATGCAACCCCCCCAAAGATATCAGGTCCTAACCCCTGGTACCTGTTACCTTACTTGGAAAAGGGGTCTTTGCTAACATTACTAATAACCTGATGAGGGGGAAATTATCCTGGATTATCCAGATAGGCCCTAAATGGCATCACAAGTCAAGTGTCTTCAGAAGAGAGAGACAGGAAGAGATTTCACACATACACACAGAAAAGACAAGGCCATGTGAAGACAGAGGCAGAGACAGGAGTGATGTGGCCACAACTCAAGGACTGCCCACAGTCCCCGGAAGCTGGAAGAGCAAGGATTAGATTCTCCCCTGGAGCCTCTACATGGAGTGCTGCCCTGCCAACACCTTGACTGCAACCCAGTGACACTGATCTCAGGGTTCGGCCTCCAGCGTTGTGAGAGAATAAATTTCTGTTGCTTTAAGCCACCAACTTTGTGGTAATTTGTTATAGCAAACTTATACATCTATCAGTTTATACACACTTATACAACATCTATCAGTATATACACACGGAAAACTTATACAACATCTATCAGTATATACACACAGGTTCATACACTCACAGATTTACACACTCATCCAACCATGCACACACACCCAGAGCCATCACTCATTTACACAATCATGAACATGCAGTCACACTTACACAAGGATCCATTTATGCACTAGCAGTTAAGTTGGTTATCACCAAAGTATCTTTAAGGAAACAAAAATCTCGAATCACACCCTTCTCAAATAAATATATAAGAAAATAAGATGTCAACATATTAATAACAATTGGAAGAGAAGACAATAAGTGAATTTTCTCCATATTTAGTTTTATACATAAATAATTATAACTAACACTAGATGAAAGTCTTTTCTGTGCCAAGCCACTGTGCCAATTGTTTTCTAGGTATAATCACACCAATAGTATACACATGAGAAACTGAGGAGCAGTGAGGATGCATAACGTGCCCAAGGTCAGAGTGATAAAGCTGAGATGTGAACTCGGGCATTGAGTAGGATTCTGGAGGCTACATTTTAATCAATAAGGAAAGCCTTTTGGAAAAGCCTCACACGATTGGGGCGAGCCTTAAAAGCCTTTTTTAAAAGCCTTTTAAAATCTCAACATTTTTCTTTAATAAAAACCTATGTATTTCATTATGCAACATTTCACCAGTGCCACTTCCTACTTTATTTCAGTCATAGCATCTGTGCACATGCTGGAATCAAGGCTAATTGGGTCATCTTCATCTGAAATCTGCTCTCCATCTGGTAAGAGCCTTTTCTTTACTCTGTGGAGCAACCCCCCCAACCCGCTGTGTGCCCCCCACACAGTATGAGGCCTTCTGCCGCTGGAGGCAAGACATGGCCATGTGCACTGTGCACACAAGGTGTGAGCCCACACCAACAGCATCGTGACTCAGCTTTCCAGGTGCCACACTGAGTCTTGAAGCTCTTTCTTGCGACTGTGATTCTGGAAATACTATTATTCTCTTTTATGCTCCATATATAGGTCACATATTCTGATGTACCAAATCAAAAACCATGCTAGATAAACATGTTTTCTTTTTTAGGGCCAGAATATTACAAACTGAGGCTTCCTGAAAATAAGAAATGGTCATTATACCTACATCCCATCTCATAGCGTAGCCATGAATAGCAAACTATTTTCAGGCTAGATATTCTGATTATAGCACAAACTGTTTCACCAGAGGCATGGGGGAAAATATAGCATATTTTTACATAAAAATAGGCCATTCTAAGAGAGTAATTAAAATACTGCTTTATTCATCTGAGTCCTCACTTAGGGACTCCTTATTTTAAGTCACTCTGGACAATCACCTGATTCTGTTTCTACAGTAGTTCTGTAAGTCCCCAAATCATCTCTTTTCAGCTATCAGTCCTGGCTGAGTGTCCACTCAATAATCTTGGCATTCACAATATCATTTGTCCAGATTCCCTCTCCTACCTTCTCCCGGGTTGAACTGCTTCCTTCCTTGCCTAGGGCACCCTGTGAACAGTTTTTGTCCTGGTTTCTGTGTCTACACTCCACTCTGCATGGGTAGGTGGATAGTTATTTTAAGGTAGCCTTTTATACTCACCAAAATACTTGGATCCTGCCTTTTCCCCATTGTTGTTCTTACAATTGTGTTTCTTCCTTGAGCCTGTGAGCTTATCCTCACCATGAAGGCACTTGCTTGTAAGGCACCTCTCTTCACACCACACGCAGGAGGGCAGGAAGGTGGCTTCTTTCTCTAACTTCCCTGACAAGAGAAGAACTGGCCAGCATGGGCCAGGAGGCTTGCAACAGGCAGGGCACTGAAACAGATGGGATACCTGAGAGGAGGCAGGAGCCCACCACTTGAGGAGTCACAAGAGAGGTGAGAAAAGTCCAGCCCCACCTGTGGCTAAGAGGAAGGGCTAGAGCAGCCTCAGGAGCAGTGAACCAATTTCCTCTGTCTTTTCTGGGCATCGAGGGACCAACAAAGACAACACCCATGCTCAGAGGCTATAAGTAGCTCTGGCACAGGGCTTCAGAGCAGTTATATTAGTGGAGACAATCAAAGGTTTAATTTTTTTTTTAATATCATATAAATAAATGAGGAATCTGGCCTTCTCCTCCAACATCTTCCTTGGTGTCTCCCCCTTACATGTTCTCATTTGTTCTGGGAAGGACATCAAGCACAGGTGACAACCCTTATCAGGGACAGGGTGGGGGTCATACCAGCAAATTGAAATGCCACATTCACCCAGACCTTGGAGGAGAAAATACAATTGCTGCCTCTCACCCTGAGGAGGACATCAGCCAGGAAGTACCAGCTCCCTGAGACAGAAGCAAAAAGCCTTCCCTGGCTTAGAATCCCTGTGAATCCTCCTGGATTTCCTCATTCCCAGAGGGCAGAGCAATGACAGTAAAATTAAAATAAGAGAAAATGGAGAAGGGATTGGTTAAAGGGGTGGTGGTGTCCTGCATGGGGAGGAGGTGTGGCTACAATCCTTGCATGTGCTTCTGTACATTTTTCCCCTTTTCCTAAAGCAGAATGATGTACAGCACTTGGACGAAACTTCCCTGTAGATAAAATGACACCCAGTGGTCCTGTTGGAATGCTGTCTGCTATCTCTCAGATTTAAAGCAGGTTTCTCTGCTCTCCAGGTTTGTGCTTCTCTTGATTTAAAATAGTTACAGTGCTGGGCTGCAGGTGTTTGATCTCATGGTATTTTGACTCTGTAAATATGTCTTGAATTTGAAGGGAAAAAATCCACACAATATTTGCCTAATATTTAAAATGAGAAGTGAATAAAAATTAAAATAATTTGAGGTGGGAGCCCAGCAGAAAGCTTTCCTTTGTGTTATGTCTATTCTTTCTCCCTCCTTCCTTCCTTCATTCCTACCTTACTTTATTTCTTCCTTAATTGTTTATTAGCTGAACAACAATTTGTTTAATTTTTATTCACTTCTCATTTTAAAGATAGAAATAGCAAGTCTAGAATAGCAACCTGGATAGCTTGCTGCTGTTTTGAGAGTAAATATGTTTCAATTAAGAAACATATTAAAAAGGTAAAGAAAATTCCTCTTTTACAAAAAACAAATTAAAACTGGGATTTAATTTGCTTTTCTTTTTCAGCAAACTTACAGTTGTCTGTTTCTGCAAAGTATATTATTAATAGTGAAACTGTTTTTAAATCCAATTTACATTGTATTTAATATAATTACCACTTCATAGCTAGAGTTTTAAATCCGAAAATATCTGTATTCAGCTTGATGTTTGATTTTAATACTTGTCCATTTATAGTCAATTCTCATTATTTATGGTAGTTATGTTCTATAAAGTTGTCACCAACACTGAATTAGTGAATACTGAAGCTTTGCTCCAAGGGGAAAATAGGGTTAGGTTCCTGTTGGTCTCTGGGCGTGACATTTTTGTCAAGCAATCTCAGCTCTGGCTGCTCTCACTGCAATTGGGGACCCATCTGCCTGTGCAGACATCTGCTGGGAAGCACACCTGTCTGAACAACCAGGGCAGTCTTCTAGACTCAGGACCTTGGTCAGTGTTCCCATACAGCCCCAGTACCCTCTTTGCATCTTCCTCGAGTCCACCTGAGCAGAAAGTCACATCAACCCCAGAGCCTTCTCAAGGCTCTCAGCAAGGCTGGGCAAGGGGTATCCTCTAGTGCTGTGATGACTGCAATAATGATCTTGGCCTCAGGAAACACAAATCAGTCTGATTAGAATCCCTGGAGGCCCTCTGAACAAGGACAGGCACAAAGACAAACCATGAAGACTCAAATAAATACCTAATCCTTCAACGTGTAGACATTGTCACATGTCCACAAGTCTCAAGAACATTCAGGGAAATGTGACCTCACCAGATGGGCAATAACGCACTAAAGCGCTATCCTACAATAATGGAGATGTGTGATCACTCAAAGAATTGAAGACAACTGTTTTAAGAAACCTCAGCAAACTTCAAGAAAACCATTTACTGTGGGGCCTTTTACTGACTTTCCTAGAAAGAAAAGAGCCTAGTCCCTGTGGTGTTGCTGCAAGATGCTCATTTTTCCCTCCCATTCTCTTTCTCTGAAGTAACTCAGTTACCCATTTTGTTCAATATTATTTTTAAAATAAGAATTTCCCAAATACTATTATCTATCTCTCTTGGTCTCCTTCTCTCTTTCTGTCTTATAGGATGACACATTTGGTTTTCTAAATAACATCTCTACTTTAATGTCTTGTCCATTCATTTTGTTATCAGATACAAAGGTTTTGTCAGGACCCAGCCCAATGTCCCCATGAGCATCACAATTAGATCACAAACATAAAACTTCATTACATCGTTATTCTTCTTCATGGTCATGGGCTATGTCACATACGTACCTTTCTTTCCTTTCTTTCTTTCTTCCTTCCTTCCTTCCTTCCTTCCTTTCTTTCTTTCTTTCTTTCTTTCTTTTTTCTTAATGGGGTCTTGCTCTATTGCCAGGCTGGAGTGCAATGGCATGATCTTGGCTCACTGCCTGGGTTCAAGTGATTCTCCCACCTCAGCCTCCTGAGTAGCTGGGACTACAGGGCACGCCACCAAGCCCAGCTAATTTTTGTATTTTTAGTAGAGACAAGGGTTCACCATGTTGGCCAGGATGGTCTCGATCTCTTGACCTCTTGATCCACCTGCCTCAGCCTCCCAAAGTGCTGGGATTACAGGCGTGAGCCACCACGCCCAGCCTATTTCTTTTCCTTTTCAGTCTTATATATGTAATTGTATTTCAAGACTCAAACTTTCTGCCTGTCAGTGTTTACTCATTTTCAGGACTTTTTTCTCAGCTAAGAAATGATCGAGAACTCCTTCTTACCAACAATAACTGGCAACATCAAAACTGTCTACCAGCTTGCTCACTTTCATTGTGAGCTAACATACCTTTCTCTCTATCCTAAAGTCCTTTCCCTCCTTCAACGTCAGGCGCTCCTTCTCTTGAATAAAGATGCAAACACTTTACATGACTTAAAATTGACCTCTTCAATAGAGTCTTTCCAGATAAACTGCATCTCATTCAAGATCTCATAATAACTTCAACAATTGTTTGGTGGAGGACACAACCCCCAAATTATTGTGTGTACATTTTTCTGGTGATATGCTTATGTATGTGTTCCTACTAGAAAAATATCTCCAGATAAGGAACATCTTTATTTATTTTGCTATTGGTACCACGTACAATCTTCTCTTTGATTTTGTTTTTGAGATAGGGTCTCACTTTGTTGCCCAGGCTGGAGGGCAGTGGTATAGTCACAACTCACTGCACCCTTCACCTCCTGGGCACAAGCAATCCTCTTGCCTCAGCCTCCCAAGTAGCTGTGACTATAGGCAGGCACCAAAATGCCCGATTTTTAAAATTTTTTGTAGAGATGAGGTCTTCCTATGTTGCCTAGTGTAGTCGTGAACTTCTGGGCTTAAGCAATCCTCCCACCTCAGCCTCCCAAATTGCTGGGATTACACTGCACCTGGCCCCCTAAAACTGCTAAAAGAAGATTAGCAGTATCTTCTTTTTAGAGATGAAATAATGTGACACAAACTACAGATGAAATAATGTGACACAAACACTTTGTGCAGGAATAGCAAGTGGTTACTATGTTCTGTCCAACCTCCTGAGCCACTTTGGCCTGTGTGATGCTGGTGCTCTATCCCTGCATTAATGGGAACTATCTTCATGGGAAAGTACCATCTACCTGAATCTGTAGTACAAATTACCTTGGGTTGAGAATCATCAGAGTATACAATTATTAAGACAATTTATGTAAACTTGATAAAAATTCAGGGTTTAAATAAACATGGATGTATAACCTATCATTTTTAGATGATAGATACATGACAGGAAGGTAGGTAGGTAAGTATATACAGACAGAAAGATACACAGACAGACAGACAGAGGGGCAGACAATCCTACTGAATTTTAAGAAAAATAAAGTACAATATAGATACATAAAATAAACCTAGAAAAGGATGTATTGCATTTCTGTCACCATCTAAGCCAAGGAAATATAAATTTAGTTTTGTAAGCTTAAGTGAAGAATGAATCAGGCTTCATCATACAATGTTTGTTGATTTTCTTAAGTACACATTTTGTGCCAGATACTACGTATGCTGAGAGACAGTCCTCCATGCCTCTAAGGCACACACTGTCTAGCAGGGGATAAAATAAACTATAATACAATGTGTCAAGTGCTTTAAGTCATAGAGTCAGAAACTTGATTGCAGGTTAATGGTTGATTGGGAAGAGACAAAGTGAGTCTAGACCATTTTTTTCAATGTGTTTGGTGAAGACCAAAAGGTGTAAAATGAAGTAGTAGAATAGAGAGAAAGGAATGTTCTTTTTTCTTGATTTTTAAGTGAGGTAAATGAGATGGTTTGTAGGCTGCATGGGAGGAGGTAGTGAAAGAAGGGATGGAGAAGTTATAGGAGTGGGGAAATGGGTGGAGAGTGACACAGTTGTTGGAGGAAGGAACGAACAAAGGAATGAGCTAACTGGATGGAGAGGGGAAGGAAAATGCATCTAATTTGTATCTCTGAATATCAGCAAGAACAAAACACAAACCACTTCAAAACATTATTCTGCTTTACATGGAGGCAGAATAACTCATTTCTTCCTGCTATTTGCTTAATTCATATTCACAAAACACCATAATGCTTTAATTGCCAAGGCATATCCTGCTGCTTCTTGCTTTTGTGCCTTTCTCGCCACTACTTTCCTTGCCTAAATATTCTCCCATCTACCCTTCAAGCATGCATGCCACTTCTCAGGTAACCTTCACAAAAGCAGAAGAAATGAGCATGGGTATCTAATCACCACACCCTCCCTAAGAGAACCAAACATATAAAATAAAGAAAAACTTCTATTAAGCCTTCAGACTACATTCTTTTAGTTGTAACAAAATCTTATCTCAAGAAATTATGTCAAGAAAATAAACGAACAAATGTGTAAGTAAAGTAAATAAATTAAAAATAAATGCTTATATTAAGCATTTTCATGGTGTTGGACCGTAATGACACCAGTAACTGAGACAATGCTATTAATCTTACTTGTTCTACCTTCTACACAGGTGGCAAGTTCTCTGTCGTGCAGTATGACCTTTAGTTACCAACTGGTGTCCTCTACTTACTCTTACATTCTGTTTCCTCTTTACTTAGTCTGTAAGGCACCACATCAAAACTGATAGAGTTCTGATTCTTCTTTATGAATTTTCAACCAACTATTGCAAGGCTATCTGGATTATTTACTTAGATTTTCTTAGTTCATACTTGCAAAAGAGATAAATTGGCTCAACTCATTTTATTTTTCATGCCACCATATAGATTGGTATTCAGTCTATAAATTTATGAGTTAGTTTCAGACACCTCTAGTCCAAACAGTTATGGCAATGGGACCAAAGTCATACGATAAAAAATACAATAACATGTAGATTGCTAAAAGAAAAAAAAAAGATTCTATGCTATTCCCATTGAGCTACTATTGAATTTCTTCACAGAACTCGAAAAAACTACTTTAAATTTCACATAGAACCAAAAAAAGAGCCCATATAGCCAAGAAAATCCTAAGCAGAAAGAACAAAGCTAGATGCATCACACTACTTGACTTCATACTATACTACAAGGCTACAGTAAGCAAAACAGCATGGTACTGGTACCAAAACAGATATATAGACCAATGGAAGAGAACAGAGGCCTCAGAAATAACACCACACTTCTGCAACCATCTGATCTTTGACAAACCTGACAAAAACAAGCACGGATTCCTTATTTAACAAATGGTGCTGGGAAAACTGGCTAGCCATATGTAGAAAACTGAAACTGGACCGCTTCCTTACACCTTATACAAAAATTAAATCAAGGTAAATTAAAGACTTAAACATAAAACATAAAACCATAAAAACCCTAGAAGAAAACCTAGGCAATACCATTCAGAACATAGGCATGGGAAAAGACTCCATGACTAAAACACCAAAAGCAATTGCAACAAAAGCCAAAATTGACAAATGGGATCTAATTAAACTAAAGAGCTTCTCCACAGCAAAAGAAACTATCATCAGAGTGAACAGGCAACCTACAGAATGGGAGAAAATTCTTGCAATCTATTCATCTGACAAAGGGCTAATATCTAGAATCTATAACAAACTTAAACAAATTTACGAGAAAAAAACAAACAACCCCATCAAAAAGTGGGCAAAGAATATGAACAGATATTTCTCAAAGGAAGACATTTACACGGCCAACAAACATATGAAAAAAAGCTCATCATCACTGGTCATTAGAGAAATGCAAATCAAAACCACAATGAGATACCATCTTACGCCAGTCAGAATGGCAATCATTAAAAAGTCAGAAAACAACAGATGCTGGAGAGGATGTGGAGAAATAGGCATACTTTTACTCTGTTGTTGGGAGCGTAAATTAGTTCAACCATTGTGGAAGACAGTGTGACCATTCCCAATGATCTAGAACCAGAAATAGTATTTGACCCAGCAATCCCATTACTGGGTATATATCCAAAGGATTATAAATCATTCTATTATAAAGACACATGCACATGTATGTTTATTGCAGCACTATTCACAATAGCAAAGACTTGGAACCAACCCAAATGCCTATCAATGACAGACTTGATAAAGATAATGTGGCACATATACACCATGGAATACTATGCAGCCATAATAAAGGATGAGTTCATATCCTTTGCAGGGACATGGATGAAGCTGGAAACCATCATTCTCAGCAAACTAACACAGGAACAGAAAACCAAACACTGCATGTTCTCACACATAAGTGGGAGTTGAACAATGACAATACATAGACACAGGGAAGGGAACATCACACACAGGGGCCTGTTGCGGGGTAGGGGACAAGGGGAGGGAGAGCATTAGGACAAATACCTAATGCATGTGGGGCTTAAAACTTAGATGACAGGTTGATGGGTGCAGCAAACTACCGTGGCACATGTATACCTATGTAACAAATCAGCACGTTCTGCACATGTATCCCAGAACTTAAAGTTTAATAAATTTTTTTAAAAAGAAAAGCTTTTAAAGTATACATTTTGAAATCCAATCGAAAATTTTAGAAAACAAAACCACACTGTACTAAATAATTCCTAGGGCAAAGAAGAAAACAAAACTAAAATTCCAAACTATTTAGAAAAATAAGGATAATGGGTAACCTCTGGTTCCCAACAGACAAAGAACTAGCTTGGACTGTTGAATTCTTCTGAAAATGTTTTAATTATGAAGCAAATAGTATTGAAAGGAGAAACCTTGAATCCAAAGTACTAATCTATGAGAATCTCTTACAGGAAAACAAAAGAGTAATCTTCTGGAAACTTCCACCTGTACAAAAAGAAAGAGCGCATCTCTGTTTTTTTTTTTCCTTAAACTCACCAAAAGACGTACAAGCTAGCACTTAGGTTCACCACACCTCCTTACATATTACAGAAAGTATAGTTATAGCCTCAGGGGAAGCTGAGCTCATAGGCAAAAATAGCTAGACAATAAGGAATATGTGAACAATTGTGTTTTACAAAGATGCACACACCTATATATTTATGCATTCCCATATGCTCATCTTACAATGTAATTGACATCCCTCCCACCAAGATATGTGGTCTATGTTCTTTCCTCTTGAATTTGGGCAGACTCCTGCCTACATCAAACAATGGAGTAGAACAAAAGTGAGGCTATGTGACTTGCAAGGCTAGGTCAAGACAAGAACACAGGTACAGGTCTATAGACTACAATCCCAACTACATAGGCGGAGGTTGGGGGCATAATGGGAGGATCAGTTGAGGACAGGAGTTCCAGACCAGCCTGGGCAACATAGCATAGCAATAGCCTGTTTCTTTTTAAAAAAAAAAAAAAAAAAAAAAAAAAAGAAAGGAATACAATTCTGCCGGGTTCGTTCCTTCTCTCTCTCTCTCTTTCTCTCTCTCTCGTTCTCTCTCTTTCCCTCAACAAATTGCACCATACGCCCATCCACGGAGTCTCACCGTGTTGTGAGGAATCTGAAGCCACATAGAGAGGTCACATGTGGATTCTTGTAAACAGCCCCAGCTAGGCCTCCAGGTAACACCTGTACCAACCACCAGAAATGCAAGTGAATGCAATTCACATGATTTTAGTCCCCAAGCTTCAAGCCTTCCAGCTGGGGTCTCCAACAAGGTGGAGTAGAAACAAGTTATCTCCCTGTACAGTGTCTGAATTCCTGACCCACAGAAATCATGAAAAGGAAAAAAAAATTACTGTTTCTTAAACCCACTAAATTTTAAGATAATTTGTCATTAATTTGTTTGTAGCAATGTATAACTAATACCAAGTGCATTTACTATAAAGAAGAGCTTTATTACATAATGTAAGAATAAGAATAAGAATTAAATTCTCAAACTAATAGAACAGGTTAGTGGTCATATGAAACAGGAACTCAAAGCCGAAAAGAAAAGCCAAGTAGAAATACTGAATATCGAATATTCATCTCTTATCCCGTCTTAGACTGAATACGATAGCTGAAAACATAATGCAATAAATGAATAAATTCCAGAATCTATAAACAATATGTTGATGCCAACATATACATAATAGAAATCCCAGAAATAACAAAGAAATAGATGAGAGAAATACTTGAAGGTAATTATGACATATTTCCCTGAATGACAGAGTGATTAAAGACCTTAAATTCAAAAATCTATACAATTAAAAATGGAATAGTTAAGAAAAGAAAATTCACTCTATATATGTAATAGCAAAATTTAAGAATATCAAAACTGTAAATAATGGATGATTTTTGCTTCTTGTGTTCTTCATTGGTTTACTGCATTAGGTTTGTGATTAGAAAAAATATTGGAAAGGTTAGGAGTCACCTTTCCCAGAATCCGTCCCTACTCAGCTCCTTCTGAGGACACATGAAATGTCCCTACTTGGGATTCCCTAATATCCTTTCCACATCTCAGAAATTGTTTTTACCACGCTGTGTCTCTCCACACCTATTAGTGGTGGTGATTGGTGATTATTAACCAGAGTGACACATCAAAACCTCAGGGAAGCTGTTTCTATTATGAGTGATGTGTTTCTTACTCTACTTTCCCAGTTCGCACTGCAGGGCTACTGAATCTGAATCCTAGAAGTGTATACGATTTTTTAAAAATACACCATGATTTACCTTGGTTAAAACCACCAAAATAGAGGGACGGTACTATGTATTCCTTTGTCTCCCTAGGACTTACGCAGTGCCTGCCATAAAGAACGTGATCAGAAAAATGTTTGTTGAATGAAAGCATGATATATATATGTACATTATTTCTAACATGTACAAGCTAATGACATTTGTGTCTCCAAAAATCACAGCAATTTGTTTTGCAGTCTGATAATTCAACATCATTTATTAATCCTAACATAGTCATCTGTGTGTTCTAACACTGTTATACATTATTCAGTTAAGAATCAAGCTTTATATTTTTAGTAGAAAATAGCTGGACGTGGTGGCATGTGCCTGTAGTCCCAGCTACTTGGGAGGCTGAGGCAGGAGAATCGCTTGAACCCGGGAGGTGGAGGTTGCAATGAGCCAAGATCGTGCCACTGCACTCCAGTCTGGCTAACAGAGTGAGATTCCGTCTCAAAAAAAAAAAAAAAGGAATCAAGCTTTATTCATTATTGACATACTGTCTAGGAATTTGGTCTAAATTTTTACTCTCTAATGCTAGGTATTGGGAAACTTAAACTGCAATGTCTCCTGTACATCTGCATTCAGAGTTAGCTAAAATGACAATTTTTTAAGTCTATGAACTCGATTTCTCACTTTTTCCCGTAATATGATAGAAGTTTCTTGTTAAAAAGGTCACTAAAGTTGGGATCTCATAAAGTGAAAACAGATTAAAATTGTTTAATGTATCAGGAAACTAATAACTTGTTGTTTCATAAAATTTCAAATGACAGTAGTGAATAATGTCATCATATGTGGAAGATTCTCTAAAACAACTGCTACCTTTTGACTATCTTTTTTGGGAAGAATCTACTTATGAGTCTCCACCCACAGTGATGCTTTTACTTTTAAAATGGTTAGAGTTTACAGAGTACTTTCCCATATATTATCTCATTGGGACATTACAGCAACCTCATGAGGTTTATACAGCAAGTATTACCATTTTTTCTACTTTACAGATAAAGAGCTTCAAATTCTAACCTGGTAAGTGTTTGTCTCAGAGACTCCCTGATGAGCTGGGATAGAGAGCAGGTCATCTGACTCCCCAGATGGTGCTTTCTCCATCACTCCATAGTGTTTCCAGAGGATTCTGCTCAAAGTAGCAATGGAACATAGGCAGTTACATATCTCATTGTCCTATACTCTCAAGTTCACTACACACTCCTTTCAATTGAAATTTTTGGGAAGTCACTGATCATGTGAAATGGTGAAAGACAATAGACAAATAATACAATATAATATTGAGAAAAGAGATGGCCAGGCACGGTGGCTCACACTTGTAATCCCGGCACTTTGGGAGGCTGAGGTGGGCGGATCACAAGGTCAGGTGTTCCAGACCAGCTTTGCCAACATGGTGAAACCCCATCTCTACTAAGAATACAAAAATTAGCCGGGCATGGTGGTACATGCCTGTAGTCCCAGCTACTCAGGAGGCTGAGGCAGGAGAATCACTTGAACCTGGGAGGTGGAGGTTGCAGTGAGTCAAGATTGCACCACTGCATTCCAGCCTGGGCAACAGAGTGAGACTCCATCTCAAAAAAAAAAAAACAAAAACAAAAACAAAAAAAAAAAACTATTCATATTGTTGCAATGTCCTTTCTATGTATTATATTCAAATGAAGAAATTTCTTCTTTTCACATGAACTGAATATGTCCCTTCAAAATATATATATTGAAATCCAAATCTTCAATGTAATGGTAATTTGGAGGTGGGGCCCTTAGTGGGTACACAGATCATGAGGGTAAAGCTCTCATGAATGGGACTAATGCCCCTAGAAAAAGATACTCGAGAGCTTGCTCCAGCTCTCTGCTCTCTATTCTGTAAGGATACAAGGAATCAGCCATCTGCACACCAGGACACCAGATCTTCTGGCACCTTGATCTTAGACTTCCCAGCCTCCAGAACCATGAAAAATAAATTTCTGTTGCTGAAGCCACCCACTCCATGGTATTGGGTTATAGCAGCCTGAATTAAGACATTATAATTTTAAAAATACTTAAAACTTAAAAACCCAATTAACATCTTTAGAAAGCACAGCCAGCTCTAGACCATTAGTATTGGCATTTCTGTTGAACATTTATATGAAACACTTAGCATGTGCCAGGAACTTTGATGTTTTCTATAAATCCCACTTAATCTTCATATCAGTCTTATGATTATATGCCATTTACATTATTCCAGCTTTTGCAAGAGGTAAATGCAGTGCACATGTCTAACCGTCATGCTCTGTGCCAGCAATAATCATGCAAATATGTTAATCATGACCCCATGCCAAAACCAGTTTTTCATAAAAAGTGAACTGTCCATGATTCAGGTAGAGAGAAGAAGAGGGAGGTGGAGTGCACAGCTAATGGATACTTAGCTTCCAAGCCCAGAGGGTGAATGTGGAAATTCATAGAGGAGTTCATCATAGGACTTTGTGTTGTACAAGTGGAAGAAAAATATTTTCCACTTACCTAACTCACAGGATGTAACAGAGATTAATGAGTGTCAATGAAACATTGAACCACTTAGATGAGAGCAATAGATCTCTTCAAAAAAGAAAAACTGTAAGTTAAAGATTCATCTATATTCCAAATTCTTTCATAAAATCTATGTAACTAACTAGATATGCAAGAGGGACAGATTAATGATCCTTTAAGAGCTTTTCTATTTCTTGCTTTGAGTTTCTAAATTATATGAATTCAGGCTTAATTTCCATTTTTAAGATAAATTCCAATAGAGGAGGAATGAACAGCTGATTCATTCTGGTTCAGTGGATTACTTTTCCATTAGATTTTATATTTTTCTGGCAGCCATTAAGAGTGTTCCAGGATTGTGATGTCAGATAACATATGCCACGCAGATTCAACACCACATCAGTGGGCCAGCAATTCTTACTGTTCCCTCCTCTCATACAGCTGAGCCCAAAATGTAGCTTCCATCAACCTCAAAACCTCCCACTGATTCATTCTTGGATTTTCTCTATGAAACTACAGAGCAGAACAAGAAATGCCTCGGGCTCAGAAATCTGCACACCCATTTCAAACCAGCTCATACACCTGGGTCTCCATAGATTCTAGGCCTATGCACAGAAGAGAAAAGCCCCTGTGAGAATCAGCAGAACTCCCATATTAAACTACTTTCCCCTCCTTTTATATCCAAGATGAATCCAACAACAATATCAAGGGTTTCTACCTTAGCCTGCTGCTTTGACTTCACTTAGAGCTCTTTGGCAAATATACTGGGAAGATCCAGATTGAAAATGCCTCTCCCCACCCTAACCTCCGGAGCAGTGAGTCTCAATGGAATTTACATGCAATTTCAATATTGGAAACAGAATTGAAGAAGTAGGACAAATTCATTCAATATTCATTTCTTGAGTACATACCATGGGCCAGGCACTTGGCTCATGTTAAGTATTTTGTAGATTTCCATCAATAACTTGAAGGTTAAATTGCTTCAACCACAGGAGAGACATTAAATCATGCACGTGTAGTTGAGGTGCAACAAGAATGATTCAGCATACTTAAAACATTGCCATTCTAGGCCACGTGCAGTGACTTACGCCTGTAATACCAGCACTTTGGGAGGCCGAATCAAGAGGATTGCTTAAGCTCAGGAGTCCAAGACTGGCCTGGGAAACATGATGAAACCCCATATCTGATATATATATATATATATATATATATATATACACAAAAAAAAATTAGCCAGGCATGGTGGTGCCAGCCTGTAGTACCAGCTAGTAGGAAGGCTGAGGCGGGAGGACAACTTGAGCCCAGGAGTTCAAGGCTGCAGTGCATCATGATCAAACCACCACACTCCAACCTTAGTGACAGAGACTACGTCTCAAGAAAACAAACTAAAAAAAAAAACTGCCGTTTTGAAAATGACCATCTAATTGTAAATGGTATGGCTGTTATATCATGAAATAGAGGGAAGAAAGCAAGAAGAGGCATGCTCTTTGCTGCCACTGTTGATTCATTCAAATTCTCTCTCATCAAAGGGTAATCATTCACAATTTGATATTTCAAACAAGTTAAAACTTTATAAAGTAATAGATAATCTCTAAATGCTGAGACTTTAAATTCCTCCTTCCAAGACTTACACAAGCTTACCTTTTTCCTAGCGTGCGGCCAGATGGTCAATTAACAGAAGCCATGACTCCTAACCATGGAAGAGTTAAGATAATATATTTTTGTTTGTTAAAACCAGGCTGACTTAAAAGAAGATAGGACTTCCACAGTTAAACCAAAAAAAGATAAACTTGAAAATATAGTTATGAATAAATATAGAGATTAAGAAGTGAGCAAGTCTAAGATCTTCATCTATCATACATCTTCCTCCAGCATGAGTGATTTCATTTGCTTCTTAAATAGATAAATACAAAAACGGCATTTTCCCTTGGCAAGAAAGTAACTGTTTTGTATTATTTACCTACAATGCATCTGTGTTTCTAAAAAGAACAGTAAATACATTTCTGGAGCAAGACATGTTTCTGTGATAATGTGAGTAATGCTTCTTAAACACTTTGGAGATTATTAGAATGCTTTCCAGAAGCTGATATTGAACTCAGTCAGTTTAGCAAGAACACAAGATAAAGATAAAGAGATGCTCTCGGCATTTTTCACTAAACTATTTGTAGAGTGCTGCAATTGGATGTCTTTCAGAACAGTAACCACCAGAAGGAGAAGGGCCAGGACTCGTTCCAATCCACACTGAAAGATATTCAGGCCAGACTGCTTTCTTCAGGAGGGCCCTTTAAATAAACAACCCAGTTTGAGTGACATCTGCCACCCCAAATACTGGGTTAATTTTCAGACTGCCCTGAGAAATTCACAATATGGCTGTTGCAGCATCTTCTAATTGGTGTTTAAACCTTAACTGGGCAAGCACTTCACAACAATGACAGAAATAAAATAGCTAATGATTAGGTCTTGTACATAACTTCTTCTAAGCCAAGCCAGATCTGAGAGAATCATGGCTTAAAGCAACAGTCTTCTCAGACCTCTCAGATCACATAGAACTAAGTGGGGTGGTGGTAGCATATACGTATTCATCTTTCTAAATCATGATTCATTCATTCATTCAACAAATATTTGTTAAGCTGCTATGGCATGCCTTCATGGAACTGATATTCTTATGTAGGGAGGTGAGAGAAGCAGTCCCATAAGTGACAAATTAATTCATACTCAAATATGGTAATTTGGTTGATTTAATATAAGTGCTATAAATGTTATGAAGAGAATAAGAGAGTGGTGCTAATTTGAATGTGGTGGTCAGAGATCTTGCTAAACAAGCACCACTTAAGAGGTGCTTAAGCAGAAAGAATAACACATAGCAAAGAACAGGGGAGAAGAGAGAATGAGCTTGACATTTGCAAAAAGTAGAAAGCAGGTGTTATGTTAGCTTAGAATGCTGTAACAAAATACCAGAAAACGGTACGGTTTAAATAACAGGAATTTATTTCTCACCATTCTGGAGGCTGGAAACCCCAAGATCAAGGTACCAGCCAGCCTTTTGGTTCCCCCTTGAGGGCTCTCTTCTTGGCTTGCTCATGGTTGCCTTCTTGCTGTGTACTCACTTGACAGAGAGAAAGAGAGGAAGTAAGCTTTCTGGTTTCTCTTCTTATAAGGGCACTAATCCCATCATGAGCACTCCACCCTGGTAACTTCATCCAAATCTAATCCTTCCCAATGGCCGCATCTCCAAGTACCATCACATTAAAGGTTAGGGCTTCTACATTTAAATTTCGAGGGTGACACAATTGAGTTCATAGCAGTGAGTATGTCTAGAACCTGGGAATCCAGGGAGATAGTGGCAGGAGATGAAGCTAAGAAGTAGGGGGAAAACTGTATGTTCTATGGAAAGAGTTTTGCTGAGTTTTTGTTTTTTGTTTTTGTTTGTTTTGTTTTGAGACAGAGTCTTACTTTGTCACCCAGGCTGCAATTCAGTGTGCTACAACCTCCACCTCCCAGATTCAAGTGATTCTCATGCCTCAGCTTCCCAAGTAGCTGGGACTACAGGCATGTCCCATCACCCCAGCTAATTTTTGTATTTTTAGTAGAGACAGGTATTTGCCATGTTGGCCAGGCTGGTCTCAACCTCCTGGCCATAAGTGATCCACTAGCCTCAGCCTCCCAAAGTGTTGGGACTCCAGGTGTGAGCCACTGCACCCAGCAAAGTTTTGACTTTTTTCCAAGTGCCATAGAATGCTGTAATATTTTGAATTTTCCAGGAAGCAGATTCCAAGATAAAGTTCAGTATATAAGAGGATTATTAGGGGATGTCCTTGGGATTAATACCTGTGGGAAGCAGCGAGGGAGGCAAAATTGGGCTAAGTGAGAAGTTGGACTGCAAGATCCAACATCTTCAGCCAACCCCACAGGGAGCTAACACAGCCAGTAAGAGTGGCCACATGCTGAGCAGATATAGCTAGGCCTTTATACTCCTACCTCCATCAGTCAGTGGATGTGGGCCACTCTGAAAGGGGAATTATCTTGGCACATGGGGTCTCTTTGCAACTATGAAGTCCCCAGATGGACGGACAGTTGCAGACTGTCCTCTGAGCACTTCTAGGAGCTGGGCAGCAAAGCCTTCCTTTATAGAAGATCAGACTGGGAAATCACAGTGCTCAGCACACAATCAACTGGGAAGGTGATTTGGTTTGGCTGTGTCCCCACAGAAATCTCATCTTGAATTTCCATCTGTTGTTGGAGGGACCCAGTGAGAGATAATTGAATCATGGGGGCAGGTCTTTCCCATTCTGTTCTCATGATAGTAAATAAATTTCACGAGATCTGATGGTTTTTAAAATGGGAGTTTCTCTTCACAAATTCTCTCTCTCTTTGCCTGCTGCCATCCACGTAAGATGTGACTTGCTCCTCCTAGCCTTCTACCATGATTGTGAGGCCTCCCCAGCCACACGGAACTATAAGTCCATTAAACCTCTTTCTTTTGTAAATTGCCCAGTCTTAGGTATGTCTTTATCAGCAGCCTGAAAACAGACTAATAGAGTAAATTGGTACCAGCAGAGTGGGGCACTGCTGAGAATATATCCAAAAATGTGGAAACAACTTTGGAACTGGGTAACAGGCAGAGGTTGGAACAGTTTGGAGGGCTCAGAAGAAGAAAGAAAAATGTGGGAAAGTTTGGAACTCCCTAGAGACTTGTTGAATGGCTTCAACCAAAATGCTGGTAATGATATGGACAATTAAATCCAGGCTGAGGTGGTCTCAGATGGAGATGAAGAACTTGTTGGGAAATGGAGCAAAGTAACTCTTGTTATGTTTTAGCAAAGAGACTGGTGGCATTTTGCCCCTACCCTAGAGATTTGTGGAAATTTGACCTTGAGAGAGATGATTTAGGGTATCTTGCAGAAGAAATTTCTAAGCAGTAAAGCAGTCAAGAGGTGAATTGGTTGCTGTTAAAGGCATTCAGTTTTAAAAGGGAAAGTTTTAAAAGGGAGCACAAGGTTTGCAAAATTTGCAGCCTGACAATGCAATAGAAAATAAAATCCCATTTTCTGAGGAGAAATTCAAACTGGCTGCAGAAATTTGCATAAGTAATGAGAAGCTGAATGTTAATCACCAAGATAAGGAACAAAATGTCTTCAGGGCATGTCAGAGGTCTTCACAGCAGCCCCTCCCATTACAGTCCTGGAGGTCTAGGAGGAAAAGATGGTTTTGTGGACCAGGCCCAGGGTCCCTCTGCTGTATGCAGCCTAGGGACTTGGTACTCTTTGTCCCAGCCACTCCAGCCATGACTAAAATGGGCCAAGGTACAGCTCAGGGTGTGGCTTCAGAGGTACAAGCTCCAAACTTTGGCAGCTCCCACGTGGTGTTGAGAATTGAGGTTTGGGAACCTCTGCCTAGGTTTCAGAGGATGTATGGAAATACCCAGATGTCCAGGCAGAAGTTTGGTGTAGGGGTGGGGCACTCATGGAGAACCTCTGCTAGGGCAGTGCAGAAGAGAAATGTGAGGTTGGAGCCCCCACACAGAGTCCCCACTGGGGTGCTGCCTAGTGGAGCTGCGAGAAGAGGGCCACCATCCCCCAGACCCCAGAATTGTAGACCCATGAACAGCTTGCACTGTGCACCTGGAAAAGCTGAAAACACTCAATGCCAGCCTGTGAAAGCAGCTAGGAGTGAGGCTGTACCCTGCAAAGCCACAGGGGTGGAGCTGCCCAAGACCATAGGAATCCACTTTTTGCATCAGTGTGACCTGGATGTGACATGGAGTCAAAAGAGATTACTTTGGAGCTTTAAGATTTGATTGCCCCACTGGATTTTGGACTCATATGGAGCCTGTAGCCCCTTTGTTTTGGCCAATGTCTCCCCTTTGGAATGGCTGCATTTACCCAATGCCTGTACCCTCATTGTATCTAGGAAGTAACTAACTTGCTTTTGATTTTACAGGCTCAAAGGTGGAAGGGATTTGCCTTGTCTCAGATGAGACTTCAGACTGTAGACTTAGGGTGAATTAATGCCCATATGATTTAAGACTTTGGGGGACTGTGGGAAGGTATGATTGGTTTTAAAATATGAGGACATGAGATTTGGGAGAGGACAGGAGCAGAATGATATGGTTTGGCTGTGTCCCCACTGAAATCTCATCTTGAATTCCCAGGTATTGTGGGAGGGACAAGTTGGGGGTAATTGAATCGTGGCGGCAGGTCTTTCCCATGCTGTTCTCATGATAGTAAATAAGTCTCAAGAGATCTAATGGTTTTATAAGGAGGGTTTTCCCTGCACAAGCTCTCTCTTTGCCTGCTGTCACCCATGTAAGATGTTACTTGCTCCTCCTTGCCTTCCACCATGATTGTGAGGCTTCCCCAGTCACGTGGAACTGTAAGTCCATTAAACCTCTTTCTTTTGTAAATTGCCCAGTCTTTGGTATCTTTTTATCAGCAGCAAGAAAACAGATTAATACAGGAGGTTTAAGCACAGGAGTCATCCAAATAATTTACTTTGTTTCATCAATTCTACAATGAACACTTCTTTCTAAATTTTAATATTTCTAAAATTGGAATGTATCTTACAATTATTGGTATCATGTGAGGGTCAAGCAGTCATCATTGCCTCTGTATGTGCAAATATTAACAGTGCATGGATTAAAACTTATAGAATAGGTTTCAGCAGTATAGAAGCAAAACCTGGACACAATAAGAGCACCACTCATTTTATACCCAAGAACCAAATGGATGTGGGAAGGAGTTAGAAGGTGGTGCATCAGACAAGTTTAGCAGCATTCCAAAATTCCTAAATGAAGAGTCCAAAGTAGATTAACTACATATAGTAATTCCAAAGCCAGGTTAAATGCCAGCACCATTTGGTTTTACTTCTATGACTTTCTTTAAGATACATTGCATCACCATATTATTGATAACTGGAAGGACCATACTGTGTATATCAGAGACTGAATTGAAAACTGATCAGGAGACTTGGCCTTGAATATGAAGAAGGCTTAGAAATACTTTATTTTGCCTTTTTTAAAACAATAGATAATTGATATTACACAAATTATAAAGTAATTTGCACAATCGAAGTCTATTTTCAAATACCACTATATTGCTTCATGGGTAGTAAGAGTATCTTATAATAAAGTATTCCCAATTCTCCCTCACATCCCTTAGAACATTGGTGTCATTCATTTCACTTATCCATAAGCTATAGTCACCCTATATATTGTTGTTATTGTTTTAAACAAATGTTATCAGTTAGATCAATTTAAAAAAATACAAGATTCAATTTCACTTTAATTTATTCTTTTTCTGACACTCTTTCTTTATGCAGATAAAATATTCTGACCTATGTTATTTTCCTTTCCCTAAAATACTAATATATCTTGTAAGGCACGTCTATTAGTAAAAATTTCCCCAATTTTGGTTTGAGAAAATCTTTATTTTACCTTTACCTTTGCTGAAGTCAGAATTCTAGGTTGTCTTTTTTCCTTTCAACACTTTAAATATTTCACTCTACTCTTTTCTTGCTTAAATGGTTTCTGAAGGGAAGTCTGATAAAATTTTTATCCTTGTTCCTTTCTAGGTAAGATGTTTTCTCTTCTTTTATCAGATTTTCTTCAGTTTGAATATGATATGCCTAATATCCTAGATTTTCCTCAGTTTGAATATTATATACCTAAATATAGTCTATTTGTATTTATGCTGCTTGATGTTCATGATTTGAGCTTCATGAGCTTGAATTTCATGGATCTTTGGTTTACTGTCTGTCATTAAGTTTGGAAAATTCTCAGTCATTACTATTTCAAATATTTCTTCTTCTTTCCCTTTCTTCCTTCTCCTCTGGTAATGCCATTACTTATATGTTACACCTCTTGTAGTTGTCTCACACTTCTTGAATATTCTCTTCCATCATTTTCCTTATTTTTTTCTCATTGCATTTCAGTTCTGAAAATTTCTAAGAGCATATTTTCAAGCTCACTGATTCTTTTTCCATAGAAATATCCAGTCTACTCATGAGCCCATTAAAGGCACTCTTCATTTCTGTTACAGTGTTGTTTATTGCTAGCATTTTCTTTTGATTATTTCTTAGAGTTTCCATTTCTCAGCTTATGTTACCCATCTGTTCCCACATGTTGTCCATATTTTCCATTTTGATCTCCCAGTATAATTCCAAAATCTCCACCATATCTAAATTGGGTTCTGCTGTTTGGTTTGTCTGTTTGGACTGTGTTTTCTTTGTTGTTTTTTGTTTTGCTTTGTTTTTGCCTTTCAGTATATCTTGTAATTTTTTTAAATTTTTTAAAGTTTTTTTTTTAATTATACTTTAAGTTTTAGGGCACATGTGCACAATGTGCAGGTTAGTTACATACGTATACATGTGACATGCTGGTGTGCTGCACCCATTAACTCGTCATTTAGCATTAGGTATATCTCCTAATGCTATCCCTCCCCGCTTCCCCCACCCCACAACAGTCCTCAGAGTGTGATGTTCCCCTTCCTGTGTCCATGTGTTCTCATTGTTCAATTCCCACCTGTGAGTGAGAACAAGCGGTGTTTGGTTTTTTGTCCTTGCGATAGTTTACGGAGAATGATGATTTCCAGCTTCATCCATGTCCCTACAAAGGACGTGAACTCACCATTTTTTATGGCTGCATAGTATTCTATGGTGTATATGTGCCACATTTTCTTAATCCAGTCTATCATTGTTGGACATTTGGGTTGGTTCCAAGTCTTTGCTATTGTGAATAGTGCCGCAATAAACATACGTGTGCATGTGTCTTTATAGCAGCATGATTTATAGTCCTTTGGGTATATACCCAGTAATGGGATGGCTGGGTCAAATGGTATTTCTAGTTCTAGATCCCTGAGGAATCACCACACTGACTTCCATGATGGTTGAACTAGTTTACAGTCCCACCAACAGTGTAAAAGTGTTCCTATTTCTCCACATCCTCTCCAGAACCTGTTGTTTCCTGACTTTTTAATGATTGCCATTCTAACTGGTGTGAGATGGTATCTCATTGTGGTTTTGATTTGCATTTCTCTGATGGCCAGTGATGGCGAGCATTTTTTCATGTGTTTTTTGGCTGCATAAATGTCTTCTTTTGAGAAGTGTCTGTTCATTTCCTTCACCCACTTTTTGATGGGGTTGTTTGTTTTTTTCTTGTAAATTTGTTTGAGTTCATTGTAGATTCTGGATATTAGCCCTTTGTCAGATGAGTAGGTTGCAGAAATTTTCTCCCATTTTGTAGGTTGCCTGTTCACTCTGATGGTAATTTCTTTTGCTGTGCAGAAGCTCTTTGGTTTAATTAGATCCCATTTGTCAATTTTGTCTTTTGTTGCCATTGCTTTTGGTGTTTTAGACATGAAGTCCTTGCCCATGCCTATGTCCTGAATGGTAATACCTAGGTTTTCTTCTAGGGTTTTTATGGTTTTAGGTCTAATGTTTAAGTCTTTAACCCATCTGGAATTAATTTTTGTATAAAGTGTAAGGAAGGGATCCAGTTTCAGCTTTCTACATATGGCTAGCCAGTTTTCCCAGCACCATTTATTAAATAGGGAATCCTTTCCCCGTTGCTTATTTTTCTCAGGTTTGTCAAAGATCAGACAGTTGTAGATATGTGGCGTTATTTCTGAGGGCTCTGTTCTGTTCCATTGATCTATATCTCTGTTTTGGTACCAGTACCATGCTGTTTTGGTTACTGTAGACTTGTAGTATAGTTTGAAGTCAGGTAGCACGATGCCTCCAGCTTTGTTCTTTTGGCTTAGGATTGACTTGGTGATGTGGGCTCTTTTTTAGTTCCATATGAACTTTAAAGTAGTTTTTTCCCATTCTGTGAAGAAAGTCATTGGTAGCTTGATGGGGATGGCATTGAATCTATAAATTACCTTGTAATTTTTTTTAACAGCCAGACACTGTATCAGAGTGAAGGAACTGAGGCATATGGCCTTTTAGAGTGAGGTTTTACGTTTATCTGGATAGGAATTAGACTGTGTTTACTATTCGCTGTACCTATAGGTATTAGAGGCTAACATTTACTCTAGTGTCCTTGTTTCTCTCTTCCTTGTTGTCTTTGGGCTTCTCTAGAGACTCCTTCTTAAATAGAGTTTGTACTCTGAAATTGCTCTCAGCTGTAACTCGGGTTATACAGGATCCCTATTGATAGAGTGTGGGTGGAGGGAAGGAAGTACTCTACAATCTTATTACCAGGTCTTAATGGTTTAGTGAGACCATGACTCTAGACTATGATCTTTACAAATACTTTCTAGCTTTTTTCTCCCTTACATGAGAAAAGAAGGCTAGAGGGTGCAGGAGTTGGGTATTTACTTTCCCTTATGGGTTTGTTAAGCTCTGGTAAAACTCACATTGGTTAGAAGCTGATAAAATAGTTTCCTTTGAGGGTACAGAACACTCTAGGTATATTTCAAAATAGTTACTCTTCCCTTCTTGGTATCAGAAGCATGAGGTAATTTTCCTCTGACCTTGACCCTGAGAGCTTGATGAAGCTCCTGGAGGTAAAACTCATAAAAACATGGGTATTGCCCTCCAAAACCTGGCTCCCAGGGGTTTTTAATCTTTCAGACTTCAGCAATTATTCAATTACCTTTTAAGTGTTTAAATTTAAGTCTCCAGATATGGCTTGTGCTCCCAGTAAGCTCTCTGATCTCTGTATCTGCCAATCTCTCTAGTTGTTAGGGTGGCAGTTTGTCCTATGCCAATAATTTTATGCGGGATTAAAAAAAAGTTGTTGATTTTCAGTTTGTTGAGCTTTTCTTTTCTTTTCTTTTTTTTCAAGACAGAGTCTCACTCTGTTGCCCAGGCTGGAGTGCAATGACACAATCTTGGCTTACTGCCAAGATTCCTCCACTTCCTGTGTTCAAGTGATTTTCCTGCCTCAGCCTCCCAAGTAGCTGGGATTACAGGCATGCACCACCACGCCTGGCCAATTTTTTTGTATTTAGTAGAGATGGTGGTTCACCATGTTGGTCAGGCTGGTCTTGAACTCCTGACCTCAGGTGACCCACCCACCTTGGCCTCCCAAAGTGCTGGGATTACAGGCATGAGCCACTGTGCCCAGCCTGTTCAGCTTTTTCTTGTAAGAATAACAACTTCCAAACTGTTTACATGTCAGACCAGAAACCTTGCCTATTTCTTTAATCTTATGAATCTATAGTGATACATGATGTAACCCTATGTCTCATTAAATTTAAAAGATATTTTCATAGAAAACAGAAATTAAAGTGCTAAAAATTGGGTCATTATATTAATGGCTAAACTTCTTTCTTAGTAGTGAATAAAATAATTGCACCATCTAAAAATCAACCCTGTCTCTGATTTGTATAAATACAACAGGACAATTAAATCACTGTTATTAAAAATAGATTATGTCTACAGAGACAAGACTGGAAACAAGCAAACCAATCAGGAGCTTGTTTTGATATTTTAGGAATGAAAGGGTAAATGGTAGATTCAGTGCAGTTAAGTTTAGGAGCCTTGATTCACAATTGAAATTAGTTGAATGAAGCTTTTCTTAGCCTGTCAACCATGTTGCTACAAGGAAAACATCTTGGGTGAGATCTTAGAAGGTAAGACCTGCACGTTTATAGGCTAGAATGGTCAGCCTGTGGAGCTGTCAAGAGGTCCAGAATGAGGCATCCTGAGACTCAAAAAGATACTTAAGAGAACTTATAATTCATGACTGAAGAAAAGTTTATTAAGACTGAAAGTGTAAGAATGCAAGGTTGGTTCAACATACGCAAATCAATAAATCTGATTTATTACATAAACAGAACTAAAGACAAAAATCACATGGTGCAGAAAAAGCTTTTAATAAAATCCAACATTCACTCTTGTTAAAAATTCAATAAACTAGGTATTGAAGGAACATACCCCAAAATAATAAGAGCCACATATGACAAACTCACAGCCAACATCATACTGAATGGGCAAAAGCTGGAAGCATTCCCCTTGAAAACTTACACAAGACAAGGATGCCCTCTTTCACTGCTCCTATTCAACATAGTATTGGAAGTTCTGGCCAGAGCAATTAAGCAAGAGAAACAAATAAAGCACAGCCAAATAAGAAAAGAGGAAGTCAAACTATGCGTTTGCAGACTATATGATCCTATATCTAGAAAACCCCACAGTCTCAGCCCAAAAGCTTCTTAAACTGATAAACAACTTCAGCAAAGTCTCAGGATACAAAATCAATGTGCAGTAATCACTAGCATTCCTATACACCAACGACTAGCAAGCAGAGAGCCAAATCATAAACTCCCATTCACAATTGCTACAAAAATGAATAAGATACTTAGGAATACAGCTAACAAGGGAAGTGAAGGACCTCTTCAAGGAGAACTACAAACCACTGCTCAAATAAATCAGAGATGACACAAACAAATGGAATAACACTCCATGCTCATGGATAGGAGAATCAGTATTGTTAAAATGGCCATACTGCTCAAAGCAATTTATAGATTCAGTGCTGTTTCTAACACACTGTCATTGACCTTCTACTCAGAACTAGAGAGAACTATTTTAACATTCACATGGAACCAAAAAGAGCCTGAATAGCCAAGACAATCCTAAGCGAAAAGAACAATGCTGGCAGCATCACACTACCTGACTTCAAATTATACTACAGGACTATAGTAACCAAAACAGCATGGTACTGGTGCAAAAACAGACACATAGACCAATGGAACAGAATAGAGAACCCAGAAGTAAGACCACACACCTACAACAACCATCTGATCTTCAACAAACCTGAAAAAGACAAGCAATGGGGAAAGAATTCTCTATTGAATAAATGGTGCTGGGATAACTGGCAAGCCATATGCAGAAGATTGAAATTGGAACCCTTCCTTACACTGTATACAAAAATTAACTCAAGGTGGATTAAAGACTTAAATGTAAAACCCAAAACTATAAAAACCCTAGAAGAAAGTCTAGGCAATACCATTCAGGACATAGGCACAGTCAAAGATTTCATGACAAGGATGCCAAAAGTAATTGCAACAAAAGCAAAAATTGTCAAATGGGATCTAATTAAACTAAAGAGCTTCTGCACAGCAAAAGAAACTATCAACAGAGTAAACAGACAACCTACAGATGGGAGAAAATTTTTGCAACCTATGCATCTGGAAAGGTCTAATATCCAGCATCTGTAAGAAACACTTAAAAATTTACAAGAAAAAACAACCCCATAAAAAAGTGGGCAAAGGACATGAACAGACAGTTTTCAAAAGAAGACATATATGCAGCCAACAATCATAGGAAAAAAACACTCAACATTACTGATCACTGGAGAAATACAAATCAAAAACACAAGATACCATTTAACACCAGCCAAATGGCTATTAATAAAAAGTCAAAAAATAGCACATGCTGGCAAGGTTATGGAGAAAAAGAAATGCTTATACACTGTTGGTGGCAGCATAAATTAGTTCAGCCATTGTGGAAGACAGTGTGGCAATTCCTCAGAGACCTAAAGACAGAAATATCATTCAAGCCAGCAATCTCATTACTGGTTATATACCCAAAGGAATAGAAATCATTCTGTTATAAAGACACATGCACACATATGTTTATTGCAGCACTATTCACAATAGAAAAGGCATGAAATCAACTGAAATGCCAATCAATGATAGACTGGATAAAGGAAATGTGGTACATATATACCATGGAATACTATGCAGCCATAAAGAAAAATGAGATTATGTCCTTTGCAGGGACATGGTTGAAGCTGGACGCCATTATCCTTAGCAAACTAATGCAGGAACAGAAAACTAAACACCACATGTTCTCACTTATAAGTGGGAGCTAAATGATGAGAACACATGGACTCATAGAAGGGAATAACATTCACTGGGTATTGGAGGGTGGAGGGTAGGAGGAGGGAGAGGATCAGGAAAAATAACTAAACGGTACTAGGTTTAATACGTGAGTCATGAAATAATCTATACAATGACCCCTCATGACACGAGTTTCCCTATGTAACAAACCTGCACATGTACGCCTGAATTTAAAAGTTAAAAAATAAAAATAAACAAATAATCAAAAAAAGAGACAAAGATGCAAGCAAACATAAAATAAAAGATTTTAGGAGGAAAACCCTGTAACATTAAAATTAAACTTAAAATGGAAATATCAACATAAATTCATAATTTTTAAGATTATATTTTCTAATGTCATAAATAACAAGGCCTAGAAATACCTAGAGCTTAGATCTTAATTTCTAAATACTAATTCCCATTCAAGGAACCAAGGCTTTTTGAGGAAACCTTTTTATTTATTTTATGTATTTTGAATAAATAAAAATCAGGGAGCCTACAGTGACATAAAAAAGAAAATTTTAAAAGAGAGGAAAACAAGAGGCTCCTCTTTATGGAAGAATGAATGTCAACTAAAAATGCAGAAGCAATAATTTTAGAATTTCATCATACAAAAAAATTGACAGTGAGTATAATTGCAGTCAAGAACTGTGAAGTATCTGACATATTACGCTGCTTGCAGGCTGTTAACCTGCCAATTTAATGGGTACTGGAAAAGACACAAAACTCCTAGGTCAGAGTGAAATAACTATTATTCAGCACAGCAGGAAACATTAGCTTACTGTTTGCATTTATTTTCCTTTGTTCCCCATAGTGTTCAGATTAATCCAGGTGCATGCTATACACACAGTGGGTTTGATTCTTGGGCTAGGAAAAAGGGGCTCCTAGCAAACCTACTCAACTTTTGCCTTGGAAGGAGATATTATCTTTCTTATCTTGGACAGGAAATAAATCTGCCTTTTGTTCCAGAAGGGGATATTGTCTCAATCTTCCAATGCAGTTTGCTATACAAATATCTTTGAAAAGACAGCCCAGAGTGAAAACAATCAATCCTCTGCTTGCATAATGTGCAGAAAGAGAAGAGTCCTATGAAGAATGGCCTCCTAACATGTATCACTCCACAGATTGCTTAATGATTGCTGAAAGAAAATACCAGCTTTACAATGGAATGGCCTAATGTTCAGCCCCTTAACTGAGTGACAGAATTTCACATCATGAATAGAGAGACAATTTGATACTATATCCCTCCTGATGTGTTACAATATGAAGTATTCTACATCAACTATGAAGTGTCATAATTTTTAACCTGAACCTCATCAAGCTTCTAGACTTAATGAGCTACCTTCCAGTTTATTAGTAGTCAATATAGAGCTAGAGGAACAAATTAAAGGACATCATGAAGAAACCATCAGAAAAATTCTGAAAATTCTACAAGTTTTAAATTACTCAAAAAATTAAGACCATTAAAACAACAAAGCAAGTGAAAGAATTGCTCCAGATGAAAAGTTATGAAAAAGCACAAAAAAATGTAATATATAAAATCAAATTGGGTCCTTGCTTTAGAAAAGAAATTAGCCATGAAAACATTCCTGGGACAAATGGGGAGATTTAGGTACAAATTGTGTAAGAGATGACACTATGCATCTCAATTTTCTACTCTTCTTCATGCTTATCTCTTCCTAGGAAATCCTCTACAATGTACCTTACCTTGCTGTGATACTTTCTGAATTAACTCTTATACCTTCTTTATGACTTATACCAGGCCTCATGTTCTACAAAAGAGCTTTCCCATTCATACCTCCCCTACAGACTGTGTGATTTGCTCCTTTTCCTCAATAGCCCCCACACACATTTATCGTGACATTTATCACATTTCAATTAACAATTTATATGTCTTTCCTTGCCATAAGACTAAATCCCATGAGAACAGGGACTATGCCCTATTCATCTATGTATCTTTATTATCTATTATTTAGTAACTACCTGTGAGCTGGGTATCTAGATGGATAGATGGATTAATAGAAGATCCTAGGGCCAATATAGGGACTTAATGGCCTCTAGATGGAAACCTAAAAGAAAAGACAGCACTCCCAAGCTTTAGAGACAAAAGAGCACCCCAGAGAAAGAAGATAACCAAAGAGGCATTAACTTGGTGACAAAACCTAGGCTGTTTGAGTGTGATTTTATTCAGCAAGAAAGTTTGTACTTTGATGTCCTTTCTCTTTATAAACACTTACTGTTGGTCTTCCCCATACTGGCTTCAACCAGCATATCTGAACTAATGATTTCTACCTCTCCAATTCTAGCTTTAAGCCTTCTCTGAAAATCCAAACCAGAAATGCCATCTGATTATTGGTAATCATCAAGGGAATTTCCTCCTTTTATTCTAAAATCAGTTTCTAAAACTGAGTATCCTGTCTCTGCTTCCTAAACCCACCTTCCTTTCTCCTTCAGTCTGCGCCATTATTAATGGAGCCACTCACTCGGGCTAGCACCTTCAGTCATATCTGAGTTCCATTTCCCGAACTCTATCAAGTCAACCATCAATTCCTCAGGCATCCATTGTCTTCTTATCCATCCTCACAGCCAAAGTCTAGATTCGGCATCAGTTTATAAGAATAATTATAGAAAAGTGAGGCAGAGGCGCCATTCTATTAAACATAGTTTAAACTTGTTACTTCTCTGTTCCACAATCTATCTAATTAAAGATTAAGATGAAAGAACACAACTTGTATTCACTACCTACTTTGCTAACATTATCTTCCAACAAAATGCTAGTACATTACAATCAGCTTATAATGAGTAGTGACGACAACCAGAAGTTACTTCCATTGCCATCTTGAATGTGGTAGGTTTTGACCAGCTTCTATACTGCATCCTGTTTTATTAGCAGGGTATTTATGATCTGTATCTTGTTATAACAGTCCTGCTAACCACCTATCTCATCCTGTGACTAAGAATGTCTGACCTCCTGAGAATGCAACCCAGTAGGTATTAGCCTTATTTTACCCAGCCCTTGTTCAAGATGGAATTGCTCCAGTTTGAATGCCTCTGACAGTTTACTCCAGAGCAGGAATATTTTTCTGTACACTGTACTGCTCCAAACTCTCGTCCATGTTTCCATTGGAATTATCAAGCTCCATTTGGAGTTATATTGAGCTTGAGCCGAGGGCCATGCCCTCTTTACCTTTGTATCTGTCATCTGTCTTGGTATAAAGTAGTCAAAGTTGGGATTTAATTAATACTGGCACTGAATTCAGTACTGACAGAAATAAATAACTAAAAGAATAGCAAGCAAAAGAGGAAAAGTAGATGAGAAAAAAGAGAGGAACTTATAAGCCTAATTTTTTTAAATTTCAGTATATAGAATAATCTCATACACTATTAGTTACAGAATCAGATATGATCAATTGCTACCTAAATCTCACCTACAAAGTAAGATATTGTGCAGCTTGCACTTTTGCAAACATTTTTAAATTTCACAATTCAATACTGCATGCTGCCCATACCCACCTCCAAATCTCTTCATTCACTCATTCATTTGTCAAAAAAAAAGGACTATGAAATAGAGGTTTTCAAATGTATGGAATGTTAGCATTTTGAGTTCCAGTAATTCAGGTCTCCAAATAATTTTTTATAAGTCACCACATCATAAGAGATACATCTTAAAACTTTGACATTACACACACTTAGGAATTTCATTCATTTTTTTCTTCAGTTCTTGTTAAAAGAACTGTTAAAATGTTAAAATTGAGCCCGTTCACTCAATGAGCCCTTCCACAATCCCTTCCAGACTGCCCACTTAAAGACTTTTCTAAGAACCCTTTTTTAGTTCACTTTATATGTCAATTTGACTGGGCCATGGGATGCCTCAATATCTGATTAAACATTATCTCTGGGTATGTCTGCGAAGGTGTTTCTGGAAGATATTAGCATTTGCATTGGTGGGCTGAATAAAGCGGATGGTCCTCCTTAGCATGAAGGCCTGCATAAAACAAAAAAGCAGAGGAAAGCTGGATTCCCTCTCCCTCTGCCTTACTGCATACGCTGAACATCAATCTGCTACTGTGCTCACCATTCCTGGTTCTCAGGAATGGTAGAACCTTAAGACTAGAACTGTAATCTACACCAACAGTTCTCTCAGGCCTTCAAATTACACTACTGGCTTTCCTGGGTCTCCAGCTTGCAAATGGCAGATCATGGGACTTCTCAGCCTCCATAATCACTTGAGCCAATTCCTTATTTTATATATATATACACACACACATATAAATACACATACATATATTTCCTATGGTGTTCTGTTTCTCTGGAGAGCACTAATAGAAAACTCTATATATATTTGACAAAATTTGCCTGCCTTGCTTTATTTTATTTAAATATTTTTTCTAAGGAAACCTTTAAGATTCTCTTTGACACTGTTACACATTGGTTATTGGTAAATTTCCTCCATACCAAATACTCCTGCTTTATTTTACTATCTGTTAAGGGTATCCCCATTATCTCCTTTATTTAAATTTAGAACTTCAGTATCATCTTTGAGAAAATGGTTTTTTGTTTTGTTTAGTTTTTTAAAGTTATCCCATTAAAAACACATTAATATTTACTTATAAAGATTTATGCTTAGAGGAATGCTTTCAAGCAACATTCAAACATTAAAAGAATTTTCAGATCTTATCCATCAGTTGCGTAGTTCTAACTAGATAAGTAAAATTATATTCAGCAAGTCAATTTTCAGAAGGTGGCTGAGCAGATTCAGCCTCCTATGACAAACACAGCTTACTCCTCTAAGACAGCAAACACAATTCTCTAGAGTAAACATTCTAGAAAATGCAGTTGTTTGGGTTTCTTTTTTTAACAATCAATCTTAAGTTTATAAAATATCAATCCTTAAACCTAGTAAAACAAACCTTAGACTATTATAGGAAAGCCTTATATCCTTTTCAATAAACAGATTGACAGGAATTCAACATTAAAATGACAAGACACAGAACAATTAAATTTAGCTTAAAATTTCAGGTAGCATATTTAGCTTCTAACCCCATATGGGTACATGTGGATATTAACTATTCAGTTATTAGTTTAAAAAACTGTATGATTTTGATAATTCACTACTTGTTCAAATGACTTAGTAGAAACTTGATAAAATTGCTACATTGACCATGGACCTTTCCATCGTAGATTTGCTGACTAATGAAAAAGCTGCATTCAAGCTAACTAAATTCAAGATGGAAACATAGATGCTTGAAAGTGTTTCTTTTCCTTCCTTTTGCACCCAGGTGTCTCTTCTCCCACCCAAATCCACACAACTATGATCTAAATGTTGTCCTCTCAAACAATGTAGGAGTCAATGGAGGATTTAAATGTCCTTTTGGTTTTTTTCCTTTCAACTTAACTTGTTTTTTTAACCACTCAGGAAATCTCCCAATTCTTTTTCTCTCTCTCTCTCTCTCACACACACACACACATACACATTTCCAGTAAAAACTGATTTCAGAGAAGTTACACGTTAAATCTTCCTCTTGGAGATTGTTAAGGGAGTTCTCAACATGGAAATGAGAGAATGATACCTAATACCAAAAAAACACACTTAAGTACATAGTCCACAGATCCTCTAAAGGAACCCACAATAGAAACTACAAAGCAACCAAGTAACCTCACAATAGGATCGACACATCACATATCAATATTGACCTTGAATGTAAACTGCCTCAGTGCCCCCCTGTAAAAGGCACAAAGTGGCAAGTTGGATAAAAAGATAAGACCCATCTGTCTGCTGTCTTTAAGAGACCCAGGTCACATGTAATGACTCAGAGACTATTATAAACAACTCCATGCAATCAAACTGGAAAATCTAGAGGAAATGTATAAATTTCTGGAAAAAATCTCCCAAGATTGAATCAGGAAGAAATTCAAATCCTGAACAGACCAATATTGAATTCCAAAATTGAATCAGTAATCAAAAACCTACCAACCATAAAAAGCCCCAGACGTGACGGAATCACAGCCAAATTCTACAAGATGTATGAATAAGAGCTTGTATTAGTTCTGAAACTATTCCAAAAAAATCGAGAAGGAGGGATTCCTCCCTAATTCATTCTACAAAGCCAGCATTGCCCTCACACCAAAACCTGGCAAAGACACAATGAAAAAAGAAAATTACAGACAAATATCCCTGATGAACATAGACATAAACGTCTTTAAAAAAAAATGCTAGCAAACTGAATCCAGCAGCACATGAGAAAGTTAATTCACCATGATCAAGTAGGCTTCATTCCTGGGATGCAAGTTTGGCTCAACACATGCAAATCAATGAATGTGATTTATCACATAAACAGAATTAAAAACAAAAACCATATCATTATCTCAATACAGGCAGAAAAATCTTACTATAAAATCCAATACTCTTTCATGATAAAAACCCTCAACAAACTAGGCATTGAAGGAACATGCCTCAAAATAATAAGAGATGTCTATGACAAACCTACAGCCAACATCATTCTGAACTGGCAAAAGCTAGAACCATTCCCCCTGAGAACTGAAACAAGACATGAATGCCCACTCTCACCGCTCTTATTCAACATAATACTGGAATTCTTAGTGATATGATTTGGATCTGTGTCCCCACCCAAATTTCAGGTCAAATTCTAATCCCCAGTGAAACTCTGCACAGCAAAAGACACTATCAACAAACAGACAATCTACAGAATGGGAGAACATATTCACAAACTATGCATCTAACAAAGGTCTAATGTGCAGAGTCTACAAGGAACTTAAACAATTCAACAAGCAAAAAACAAATAACCCCATTAAAAAGTGTGCAAAAGACATGAACAGAGACTTCTCAAAAGAAGGCATTTAATGGTTAACATGTGTATGAAAAAATGTTTAACATCCCTAATTATCACAGAAATCTAAATCAAAACCACAATGAGATACCATCTCACACCAGTCAAAATGGCTATTATTAAAAAATAAATAAATAAAAAAGAAAAAACATAAAAAGACAGATGCTGGTGAGGCTGCAGGGAAAAGGGAATACTTATACACTCTTGGTGGGAATGTAAATTAGTGCAGCTGCTGTGGAAAGAAGTTTGGAGATTCCTCAAAGAACTTAAAAGAGAACTACCATTTGAAAAAGCAATCCAATTACTGGGTATATATCCAAAAGAAAATAAATTTTTCTACCAAAAAGACACACGCACTCATATGTTCATCACAGCATTATTCACAATAGCAAAGTCATAGAATCAACCTAGACCCATCAACGGTGATTGGATACAGAAAATGTGGCATATATACACCATGGAATACTATGCAGTGATTTAAAAAAAGAACAAAATGATGTCCTTTGCAGCAACACAGATGCAGCTGGAGGCCATTATCCTAAGTAAATTACTGCAGGAACAGAAAACCAAATACCAAATATTCTAACTTAAGAGCGTGAGCTAAACGTTGGGTATTCGTGGACATAAAGATAGCAACAATAGAAACTAGGGGCTACTAGAGTGGGGAAGGCTTTAGTAGCCCCTAGTTTCTATTGTTGCTATGTTTATGTCCATGAGTACCCAATGTTTAGCTCACAGTCATTAGTGAGAATATTTGGTATTTGGTTTTCTGTTCCTACAGTAATAGTAATGGAGAGGACAGGTGTTGAAAAACTCATTATTGAGTACTGTGCTCACTACCTGGGTGACAGGATCAATTGTACCCCAAACTTCAGCATCACACAATATATACAAACCTGCACATGTACCTCCTGAATCTAAAATAAAAGTTGAAATTAGTTGTTAAAATTTTCCTCTTGGATGCAAACAATGCTCATTAGCATATTAAGAGTTCGAAAGGTACCTTTTGAAGGAAATCTGTTTAATGTCACTTAAATTCTTTAGACAATAGAATTTTTAATTCATTATAACATCTTTAAGATATATTTTAAAAAATAAGTCCTATGGAAACCCTTTGGCAAATCCTGTTACCAATGGCGGGATTATTTTACTTTCTTACTCTTTCTTCCTAGACTCTCTCCCCTCATACCTTTCTACCAGGGCCCACCACTCTACCTTGGCCCAGAAATACATCTCTTATTTAGTTCCCCTGATTAAGATGTTTGCCATCTTTCCACAACAGCTAATGTTTCAGGCAAAGTTAAGAAAAGAGAATTAAGAAAAACATGGTGCCCTAATATCAATGGCATGAGATTCCTGGAAAACCAAAGACATCTAGGCATCTTTCATGTAATGTACCTCACAGGGTATAATACTTACATAATTTTGATGGCAGGATTATATTCATACTACAAATTTAAATGTTTAATGCTTTCAGGCTCTAAAATGTTTATTTAATAAGTGATAATAATATAATATTAAATGTTGATTTTTTCCTAATTAGGTAATATGTAAAATAAGTTACAAACATTCCTCTTGCCTTTTAAAAGTTTATAATCTGTTAAACACAGAAAAACATAGACTCTACAGAAAAATATAGCATCCAGTGATCGATTCAAGTTATATGTTATTTAACCCACATATACTTTGCACCAAACAGTGCAGGCACAATAAGGCACAAACAGGCTATCATTGAACCTAGCTAGTTAAAACATCTAATAAACAGAAAATCAGGTTATTAAAAGGTAAGAGAGACATAAAAAATACTGAAGAGAAGAAGAAAATATACAGTGTGGCAGACAGATTCTTAGGAGGTCCCCATGATTCTTAATGTGTTGATGTCCTTGTGTGATTTCTTCTCCTTGACTGTTGGTAAGATCTGTGACCTGCTTCTAACCAATGGAACATGGCAGAGGGGATTGATTACATATACAGTATTACATCAGAGTATACAGCCCATCATACTGAAATCTCTCCTGCTCCACTGCTGGCTTTGAAGAAGTGAGCTGCCATGAATCTTACAGCTTTAAGAAAATGAATTTTGCCAACAACCTGAGGAAGCTTGGAAGTAGATCCATTCTCAGTTAAGCCTTCAGATAAGAACCCAATTCATCCTGACTGATACCTTAATTTCAGACTTACGAAACCCTAATAAGAGGACCCAGTTAAGCTGTCCCTGAATTCCTGGCCTACATAAACCATAAGATAATATATGTGTGTTATTTCAAGCCGCTACATTTGAGGTATTTTTTATGCAAAAGATAATTTATGCATAGAGTTTCAAAGGAAAGAATATATAATAATGAGCAATAGAACAGTTTTTATTGCAGAGGTCACCTAGTTATAGATGTTACGGATTTTTAAGGAATGGTTATGATTTGAACCCTAAGTTATTAAGGCAACAACTGTCTCTTAATTTCAGGAGATGTAAATTCAAATTTAAAACTTTGAAGTTACTAAAATAAAGACATGTGAATAAGAAACATTTGTATAGCTTGAGACATCACATTGCTGACTTCAAAGTATACTACAAGGCTATAGTAACCAAAACAGCATAATACTGGCATGAAAGTAGACACACAGATTAATGGAAATCAATAGAGAACACAGAAATAAAGCAACATACATATAGCCAATGGATCTCTGACAAAGCTGACAAAAGCAAACACTTGGAAAGGAATACCCTATTCATTAAAAGGTGCTGGGAAAATTGAATTGCTATATGCAGAAGAATGAAACTGTGCCACTATCTTTTTCCATATAAAAATATTAACTCAGGACGTATTAAAGACTTAACTTTAAGACCTGAAACTATAAAAATACTAGAAGAAAACCTAGAAAAAAATTTTCTGGACATTAGCCTAGGTAAAGAATCCATAACTAAGACCACAAAAGCAAATGCAGCAAAACCAAAAATAGACAATTGGGACTTTATTAAACCATAAATCTTCTACACAGCAAGAGACAGTCAACAGAGTAAACAGACAACTTTTAGAATGGGAGAAAATATTTGCAAATTCTCCATCTGACCAAGGACTAATATGCAGAATTTACAAGGAACTCAAACAACTCAACAAGAAAAAAACAAATAGCCCCATCAAAAAGTAGGCAAAGGACATAAGCAAAAGAAAACATCAAATGGTTAATAAGCATATGAAAACAATGCTTAACATCACTAATCATCAGAGAAATCCAAATTAAAACCACAATGGGATACCATCTTACACTATTCAGAATGGCTACTGTTAAAAATTCTAAAAATAACGAATGTTGGTGAGGATGCAGAGAAAAGGGAACACTGATACACTGTTGGTAGGCATGGAAATTAGTACAACCTCTATCAAAAACTGTATGGAGATTTCCCAAAGAACTAAAAATAAAACTGCCATTCAATCCAGCAATCCCAGTACAGGGCATCTACCCAAAGGAAAAGAATCTACTGTATAAAAAAGAAACCTGCACTCATATGTTTATCACAGCACTATTCACAACTGCAAAGATATGGAATCAGCCTAAGTGTCCATCAGCAGATGACTGGAGAAAGAAAATGTCATATGTGTGTGTGTATATATAAAATGGAGTACTACTCAGCCATAAAAAAATAAAGCCATGTCTTTTGAATCAACATGGATGGAACTGGAGGCCATTAACTTATGTTAAAAAAAAAAACAGAAACAGAAAGTCAAATATTGCATATTCTCACTTATAGGTGGGAGCTAAATAATGTGTACACAGGGACACATAATGTGGAATAATAGACTTTGGAGACTTGGAAGCGTGGGAGAGTGGGAAGGGTATGAGGAATGAGAAAGTATTTAATGGATACAATGTACACTATTCAGGTGATGGTTACACTAAAAGCCCAGACTTCACCACTGTGCAATATATCCATGTAACATAACTGCACTTATACCCCTTAAATATCTATCAATAAAAGAGAAGGAGACAGCTATAGCCAAGGCTGCCTAGAGCATAGGGTGTAACCAGGAAGAAGTAACCAATATGGCTACACTTTGCAGGATAACCCTAATTATTACACAGAGGAGTTTGTACTTTATTTGGGTATCAACTAGAAGTAATTTAAGTTTGGCAGTGACGTGATGGAAGAAGTGTTCAGAGATGAGTCTGGTAATGCAAGGCCTATGCATTGTGTTGGAAAAAGGAGAAAGACCACAGGAATCAAGAGCAACTGAGAGAAGAAGAGACTAGATTAGAGGATCGAGGGGGAAGAATTGAAGTGTGTGATGATTCATTTTATGTGTTAACTTGACTGGGTGAAGGAATGCTCAGATAGCTGGTAAAACATTATTTCTGGGTGTATCTGTGAGGGTGTCTTCAGGAGATATCAGAATTTGAGTCTTTACACTTACTGAAGAAGATAATCCTCATCAATGAAAACGGGCATCACCCAATCCTTTGAGATCCTGAATAATACAAAAAGACAGAGTGTATTAGTGTGTTCTCACATTGCTATAAAGAAATGCCTGAGACTGGGTAATTTATAAAGAAAAGAGGTTTAAATTGGCTCACAGTTCCACAGGCTTTACAGGAAGCATGGCTGAGGAGGCCTCAGGAAACTTACCATCATGGCAGAAGGCAAAGGGGAAGCAGGCTCGTCTTACACGGCTGGAGCAGAAAGAAGTTGGGGAGGGAGGTGCCACACACTTTTAAACAACCAGATCTCATGAGAACTCTATCATTTGAATAGCACCAAAGAGATGGTGCTAAGCCATTCATGAGAACTCCACCCCCATGATCCAATCACCTGCCACCAGGCCCCACCACCAACACTGGGGATTACAATTTTACATGAGATTTGAGAGGGGCACAGATCCAAACCATATTTAGAGGAAGCACAAATTTTCTCTCTCTTCTTGAGCTGAGACATCCATTTTCTCCTGCTCTCAGACACTGGAGCTCTTGATTTTCAGGCTTTTGGACTCTGGGACTTATATTAGCTGTCCTCCCCAATCCATACACCAACCCTGGGTTTCAGCTTCAGACCTCACCTTCCACTTCAGACTGAATTACATCACCAGGCTTCCTGGTTCTCAAACTTGCAGATGGCATATCGTGGGACTTTGCAGCCTCCATAACCATGCAGGCCAATTCCCATAATAAATCTCTTCTTATGTACCTATGTGTGTGTGTGTGTGTATGGTGTATGTGCATATACCCATATATACACATATTTATATCCTACATATTCATCATATTGGTTCTGTTTTTCTGGAGAAGGCTGACTATTATATAGTGGGAGCAATTTCCAGAGGCATGTGCCAGTGGAAGGAAAAGGGCTTAGTAACTGATCAGCATAGAAGGGCAGTGTTGACTCAAAGGTTTCAAACCTAAGCTTCCTCTCATAAACAGATAAGAGATCCATGTACGGTAAAAGGAAAGGAGGTAAAGGAGCTACTAAATTATAAGATGGGGCTGCTGCCAAGCATTTTTGTCAATGTGTCTTGATGTAACAGTCTTATCCAAATTCCTAAGTACTTCACTGAAAGTGTCTCAAAACAAAGCAAGATAGCTTTATGCGGCAGTATTAGAAAAAAGAGTGAGTCAAATCCTGCTATCAGCTGTATCCATGCAATGTCCTTTAAACTTTTATATGCATGACTGTGGACAAACTATAAGCAGAGTTAACAATTTTGTTATCATGAAACTACCTTTCTCAAATATATGTACAATGTGATTTTTTTAAATACAATGAGATACCAGACACCTTTCTTCAGTGATAAGTGAAAAAAATGAGGATTTAATATCCTCAAGAAGCTAATTATAGGTCACCAGATTACAGGTAATTCAGAGAAGCTACAAAATCTAACATCTCTATTTCCACCAGCACATACGTTGAAACCACTCTGACAACGCTGTCATTCTCCTTTGTGAGACCAAGGCAGGATGACAGGCTCTAAATAATGCATAAGCCACCAGCATTCCTGTTCATATCCCTTTTCAAAAAATGGTGAAGAGTCTCTTTTATAGTCCATAAAGAATTGAAATCATATGGTGAATCCTGATAATTGCTTTCAGAAGGAGCTCTTGGCACAAGCTCTAGGGTCTTCAGTTCACTCATGTCGGGAACACAGACCGTCACTGCATATAGATGAGTACAGCACCCAGAGAGCCACCCAGCTGCAGAGTTTTCCCAAGGTTGGAAGGATCCATGTCAGCTTGAAATCTTATCTCTACTCCTTCCTCACCAATTAGCATTTTTGTCACCCACATCATTCCTTTCTTATGAAGTCAAGTTAATATTTTACACAAGTCAACAGTGCTCTCAGAGAAATGTGAAACTCTTTTCCTCTGAATACAGATTTCAGTCTAAGCGGACTGAGAAAAGAATAGAAAAATAACCAACATGTACATTAGCACTAGCCATCCATTTCTGGGCCACACAGATGCACACTGCCACTTCAATGTTTCACTGAAAGTAGGGCCAAAGAAGAACTACAGAGGGAGATGAAGTGGTGGGAAGAAACACGCTCTGTCTAAGCATAACACGTCTTCCTTCTTTTCTCTCCTCTCCCTTTCTCTGGGTTCTCCTTAGGTTATAAACTCTCAGGATGAATTCTTCCAAGATAATGCTAACAAAATCATCTCACTCTGGTCCCTGAATTCACAGCAACTGTAACAGCAACATCCTCTTCCATGAGATTTCTTATATTGTTGCTTTGTTTCACCATTTATTATGTGTATATGATTTACATGCACTCCAGGTAAAAGCCATAAAGTAGAGAATGTATGTTGTCCGATGGTTTCATCTACATTCCTTCTAGTGCATAGTACTGAGAACATGGGTTTTTAAAAAATATTTGTAAAATGAATAAACATTAACTTTAGAAGCCAGTTTCTTAGGAGTAGTGGGATTAGTGGCATGCACAGGATTTAGCTGAGAGTAACTATGTTAATGAAATCTTGTATAAAGAGAAGTAAACATAATTCCTACTAGAGGAAAGGGGAGCAAGCTGGGAATCAGGAGCTGAAAATTCAACCTGTCCATGGTGCATTCACAAGGGCCAAATGTTTCAACTCAGGCTAAGACCACAGAAAGCTCTTAATGCTATTCAGTAGAGATTTACATGGTAGGGATTGTAAAGAGAAGTCAAATCAATTTATCAAAGCATATTATTTTATCATCTGCATGACTTCTTTTGGAAATAATGTTTTCTAGTCACCTAGCATAGCTTAGTATTTTATCTCATAGCCCTGGGTAGTAGCGTGTTGGTTGGCTTATCATATGCATACACACACACACAGTGGTAAATGATCCTCAAGCCTACTTTACATGTATGAAAACAGGCACAAAGGGTCAAAATGCTTTGCCCACAGCTTCATAACATAACATCAGGAGTCATGACGTGGGCCTTGTTCTTCTGTGACACAAGCCTGCATTTAGTCTTCAGTTAATGCACACTACAAAGGAGCGGTGTGATGAGGTAATGAAGTAGGTTATAGATCCGCTTTTGAGATCCTAAGCGCTGCCCAACTTTAGGCAAATTACTTACCTCTCTCAGCCTTAATTTTGACATCTGAAAAGGTAATTCCTAACAGCAGACATATTGTGATTGGAGATAAGTGTAAAACCGTGGTTCTCAGTTCCTAAGAATCCCCAGCAGGGCTTGTTAAAGACCATTTGCTGGACCCCATCATTCGACTTTCTGAATCAGTAGTTCTGGAGTAGAGGCCAGGAATTTGCATTTCCAGCAAGTTCTCAGATGACACTGATGTCTAGGGACCACACTTTGAGAATCTGTGATCTAATGCAACTATCATAGAATGGGCATTCAATAAGTACTGGTTATTATTATTTCTAAAGCAGAGAAGGCAAGAAATGCCAGATGATGGGGATGGCATTGAATAACCACAGGAGACATAACCAAGAGCACAAGTCCTGAAAACTCAACACGGATGGTCATCTCAGCCAAAGCAAATTTGCAAGCCTTAAGAAGGAAGTGCTGCTCCTTAGTATTTATGCTTTAAAAAAAAACCCTTCATTTTACAAATGACTTTTATAAAATTTTTAATGGCTCGTACAATGGACTGTACGGAAATGATTTACTTGCCTGTCTACTTCCTCTTCATATGTAACCTCTTCTCTGAATGTGGTGAAACTTTAACGGCCAAGGAGTTGGATGATTAACATTAACGGGAGTTGCCTGTGTTAATCCCTTGTGCATAACTGGATTTTTATCTGTTAAACTTTTCGAGATTTAGCCCTTACACATGTAATACAATTTGTGTCAGAAAAATTCAGTAAATGTGTTTTATTTAAAAGTGAACACTTGGAAGTTGGAATGTTGGCTCATCCGTAGGAGACACAGAAACACTACTGAATATCTAATAGTTATAATTTTTAAACAATTAATGCCATATGTAGTGGCAATTTGAGATAAAGAAGTGCCTGGGGACATGGAAAATCTCTTTTGTAACTGTATAGTAAAAAAGCAATTATTGAGCCAGATTAAGTTTGAGATTTGGGGCCATACCTGTGTTCCCTATTTCTATTAATTCTCCCTGTCATCAAAACTTAGGAAAAGCAAAGATAGCACAAATGTTCTTATCTATCCACCCTTCATATCTGAGACTGATTCTGTTCTCAACTTTCATCTCAACTGTTCCCTCATTCTTATTTCCATTTCCTCAGTTCAGAGCCTCATTTATTTTCGTTGGATTATTTCAATAACCACTTAATTCCTCATTGCCCCATTCCAGGACATCTTACACCTAATGTCATATAATTTTTCTTGTGTCATGCCAACCCTCCCTTCATAAGGCAATGCTTTGTATTGCCTAGTGAAGAAATGACCAAATTTGGCCCGAAAATCAAGACTTCCATTATCTGGTCCAACCTCATTTTACTAGTTTATTTTTACATTCACATCAACTCAGCCATATGGAACAACCAATGACTTCTGGCAAATCTTGAGCTTTCTTCCCTCTATGTCATTGCCTGCACTATCTCTCTGTCTCTTTAAATAACCAAAAAAAATTTTAGTGCTTTATTATTTATAAAACAATTTTGTAAGAATTGTGTCAATAGGCCCTCAAAGAGGATATAAATAGAGGTGTACACTAGGCATTTTCCTTTCCATTAAACAGAAGAGTAAATAGAGACTTACAGATATTAGCTGTTGATAGGAACAGCCTAGCAGAGATATAGCTACAATAACTCTAAAACAAAATTAAACCAAACACACATACACACAAAAATCATTCCAGCTTAACACAATCTCATCTTATAAATCATAATAAGGAAAGAACTTACAAGATCTCTACATCAAAATGTATCTGAAAAATGTGTCTCGATAGAAGATGAGTCAATTCAATGATAATTACATTTAAGGCAGGCCTATGTAGAATGAATCCCAATAGCCTGAATATGGATCCTCTATGGAGCTACCAATTACTGCTACTGAAAATTTATGACTAATGGATTATATATTAATTTCATATCTAGGGAGTTTTGCACCCCCATCAAATAGACTCTCCCCTCATTTTCCTTTCCTAATGAGTTTCTATTCCTTGGTTTTACATACTCTTTTCACGCAAAAAGAAATCCAGAAGTTTGTGATAATGCTAGCTTTCTTCTTACTAACATTGTTGTCAATAAAACATAAACATTTTATCACAATGGAATAGGTGAATTTTAGGTTTTGACCTATAGAATCTAAAGGATGTAGAATTTCATTACAGGACCAACTATGTCAAAATTATCTGGTACTTTGTTAAATATGGAGGTATAAATCAGAATCTTCAGATATGGAACCTAGAAAGCTATTTTTCAAGGACTTCAAATGATTCTTATGTCCTCCGACCTTTAAGAAAAAATAGAGATCTTTCACTTATATCATTAATGGAGTAGCTTGCATGAAACCAAACTTTCTGCCATGGACAGAAACATACATAAAATACAAAGCATACATAAAATACAAAATCAAACATACATAAAATACAAAAGACTAAACAGCTATTTAAAGGAATCAGACAACAACCAAGGTAGCCTGGACTTGAGGGATTAATCTCCAGGAGGGAAGGGATGTACATTTAGGTAAGCCCCACATTTACTACCATTTTTTTCTTTGATACATTTGCCAATTCCCAGGATGGTACATAAAAAACAAACAATTTGAGTCTTAAAATTCACAGTTTCAAAATTATACTTAGAAAAATTTGGATTCAGAACTCCCAAGCCAACCAGAAATTGAGGAACCAAAATCAAGGGGAAAACAAAATCACGTTCAGCTTGGATTTTACCCATTAGGAATGGGCTGAATGGAGCAAGAAGTAGAAAAAGTCAGCATAGAGCTGCTGCCAAGATCTGTAAAAGCTAAGCAGAACTTTACATTCTCACAGAGCTTGGAAGTCAAAATGAGTTTAGGGGCTTTAAAGGTAGAGGGGTATGGTAAACTATTCAGGCTTCACGTAAGACCCTGGAAAGACAACAGACTAGTGACAAGAACAAACCAGAAAGAGATTGATCTGGAAAGCAGTCTCAGTTCACTTCATCACTGATTGGATCAAGATGATTAGCCTTTATTCTAGCTGCCTTCTTAAAAAAAAAATCTCAGGAGAAAGATATTATCAAGATCTTTTACATACACTATCAAGCATACAATCCAAAATTACCAAGCATGATTAGAAATGGGCTCAAATTACAAATAGAAAAAGAAAAAACAGATAATACTAACAGCTACAGTGACACAAGTATAGACAGTTATTCAGTCCCCTTACAATAGAGCAGTACAAAATATAGAAAATCAAGTAGAGACATGAATCTACTCCTAAAAATAATACATGAGCAATCTAGAAGTGAAACTGAGAAACTAAGGGATGGGTTTAACAACCAATGAGACAAAGCAAAAAGGATTATTAGTGAACTAGAAGAAAGATTAGCATAAAATATCCAGTTGAAAGCACAGAGAGAAAAAATATCCAAATGAAAACACAGAGAGATAAACAGAAATAAAAGTATGTAGGGAATATAGAGGACAAGGTAAAAATATCTAACATAAGGAGAGAAAATGTGATATAAGCAATGTTTAAAGAGATAATGGCCTGAAGAAAGATAGATCCAGCAGAAAAAAAAGGACACAGTTATTTCATAAGAGCATCCATAAAGCCTAAAGCTAACTTTTTCTTACAAATGAGGGAAGCCATGAGACAATAGAAAGAAACATATAAAGGAAAGATAGCACAAATGTTCTTATCTATCCACCCTACATATCTGAGACTGACTGATTCTGTTCTCAACTTTCATCTCAACTGTTCCCTCATTTTCATTTCCATTTTGTCAGTTCAGAGCCTCATTTCTTTTCAGTTGGATTATTTCAATAACCACTTAATTCCTCATTGCCCCATTCCAAGATTGGAATATCGATGAAAGGCAATAACTACCAACCCAGAATTCTATGTCACTAAAAATATTCTTAAATAAAGAAGACTAAAGATAGATATTATTAAGTAAGCAAACAAAAAAAAAATCAGTGCCAACAGATGTGCTTTAAAATATATCCTAAATGAAGTTCTTCAGACAAAAGAAAGTGATAATAGAAACATGGTAAATAAAAACAAAGAACAAAATCTCTGGAAACAGATAAAATGTTGATAAATCTAAATAAATATTGACTGTTTCAAACAGCAATAATAGTTTCTCCTGGGGCTTAAAAATATATGTAAGTTTAATGTAAATGACAACAATAGCACAAAAGTTGTCAGAAGTAAAAGTAATTAACTTATTACATACATAATAATTCAAGTATACAAGTTTAATTCTCTAGGATAACAACCAGTTGAGTAGTCAATACATGTACAACTAACAAATTAATATAGCATGGGAAAATGGAATAACAGCAAAAGAAGATAAGAAAGGAGAAAAAAAGGCAACTATAAACGTATGGGCAAATAGAAAAAGCAAAAGTACCTATACTTGTATCATATAAAACAGACTTTAAATCAAAAATAATAAAAAAGACAAGGAAGGCCATGTAATGATAAAGGTATCAATTCAGCAAGAAAAAATAGCAATTCTAAATACGTATGCACTCAACACTGAAGCATGTAGATATATAAAGCAAACATTACTAGATCTAAAGTAAGAGATAGATTTTAATAAAATAATAGTGGGAGACTTCAATACCCCATTTTCAACATTAGATGGATCATCTATACAGAAAATCAACAAGGAAACATTAAATTTAAACTGGACTTCAGACTAAATTGACCTAACAGACATTTACAGAACATTTCATTCAACCGCTGCAGAATATATATTCTTCTCATCAGGACAAGGAACATTCTCCAGAATAGACCATGTTATGTCACACAGAAGTCTCAACAAGTTTTTTAAAATTCTACATCATGGGCCGGGCACAGCAGCTCATGCCTGTGATCCCAGCATTTTGGGGGGCCAAGGCAGGCGGATCACTTGAGGTCAGGAGTTCAAGACCAGCCTGGCCAACATGGTGAAACCCCATCTCTACTAAAAATACAGAAATTAGCCAGGCATGGTGGCACACGCCTTTAATCCCAGCTACTTGGGAGGCTGAGGCAGGAGAATTGCTTGAACCCAGGAGGTGGAGGTTGCAGTGAACCCAGATCATGCCACAGCACTCTATCCTGGGCGACAGAGCAATACTTTGTCTCAAAAAAAAAAAAAATCTAAATCATGGCTGGGCATGTGGCTCATGCCCGTAATCCCAGCATTTTGGGAGATTGAGGTGGGTGGATCACCTGATGTCAGGAGTTCAAGACTGGCTTGGTCAACATGGTGAAACCCCATCTCTAATAAAAATACAAAAATTCACCAGGTGTGGTGGTGCATGCCTGTAGTCTCAGCTACTTGGGAAGCTGAGGCATGACAATTGCTTGAGCTTGGGAGGAGGAGTTTGCAGTGAGCCAAGATCATGTCACTCAACACTCCAGCCTCGGTAACAGAGCAAGACTCCATCTCAAAAAAAAAAAAAAAAAAAAATCTAAATCATATAAAGCATCTAAGACAATAATGGAATAAAACTAGAAATCAATACAAGAGGAAGTTTGGAAACTATATAAATACACGGAAATTAAACAACATGCTTCTAAATGACCATTAGGTAAATGAAGAAATTAAGACAGAATTTTTTTTTATCTTAAAACAAATGGAAATGGAAACACGGCATATCAAAACCTATGGGATACAAGAAAAGTAGTGCTAAGAGGGAAGTTTATAGCAATGAAAACCTACATCAAAACAGTAGAAAGAATTCAAATAAACCATCTATGATTCACCTCAAGGAAGTAGAAAAGCAAGAACAAACTAAACCCAAAATTAGTACAAGGAAAGAAATAAAGATCAGAGCAGAACTAAATGAAACAGAGACTAACAAAACGATACCAAAGATCAATGAAAGAAAAAGTTTTTTTTTTGAAAAGATAAACAAAATTAATAAATCACTAGCTAGACTAACAAAGAAAAAAGAAAGAAGAATCAAATAAATAAAATCAGAAACCAAAAAGGAGACATTACAACTAATACAACAGAAATACAAAAGATCATCAGAGACTATTACGAACAACTATATGCTAACAAACTAGAAAGCCTAGAGGAAATGGATAAATTCCTGGACAGCCCATAAAGATTGAATCAAGAAGAAATAGAAAATCTGACTAGATCAATAATAAGATTGAATCAGTAATAAAAAGTCTCCCAACAAAGAAAAGCCCAGGTCCAGTGGCTCCATTGCTGAATTCCACCAAACTTATAAACAACTAATACCAATTCTCCTCAAACTATAACAAAAAATTTAAGAGGACGGAATTCTCCTTAACCCATTCTATGAGGCCAGCATTACATTTCCAAAAGGTAAACACACACAAAAGAAAACTACAGGCAAATAGCACTGATAAACATTGATGCAAAAATTCTCAACATAATTTTAGCAAACCAAATTCCATAGCACATCAAAAAGATAATACACCATGATCAAGTGGAATTTATCCCAGGGATGTAAGGATGATTCAGTGTATGAAAATCAATGAACGTTCTATGTCACATCAATGAAATGAAGGAGAAAAATCATATAATCTTCTCAATAGACACAGAAAAAAACATTGATAAAATTCAACATCCCTTCATGATAAAAACTCTCAACAAACGGAGCACAGAAGGAATGTACCTCTTACATAATAAATGCCATATATAACAAATTTACAGCTAACGTCATACTGAATAGGGAAAAAGCTGAAAATCTTTCCTGTATGATCTGGAACAAGACAAAGATGCCCATTTTCACCACTTCTAGTCAACATAATACTGGAAGTCCTAGCCAGAGCAATCAGTAAAGACAAAGAAATAAAAGGCATTCAAATTGGAAAAAAGAAAATCACATTGTTCCACTTTGCAGACAATATGATCTTATACCTAAAAAACATCTAAAGACTTCACCAAAAAACTCTATCTGATAAATAAATTCAGTAAAGTTGCAGGACACAAAATCAACACACAAAAATCAGTAATGTTTCTATATACTAACAAAGAACTAGCTGAGAATAAACCAAGAAAACAATCTATTAATAATGGCTACAAAAAAATCAAAATACCAGGCCAGGTGTGGTGGCTCATGCCTGTAATCTTAGCACTTTGAGAGGCTGAGGTGGGTGGATCACTTGAGGTCTGGAGTTTGAGACCAGCCCAGCCAACATGGTGAAACCTTGTCTCTACTACAAATACAAGAATTAGCCAGGCATGGTAGCCAGCACCTGTAGTCCCAGCTACTTGGGAGGCTGAGTCAGGAGAATCACTAGGAGGTGGAGGTTGCAGTGAGCTAAGATTGTACCACTGCACTCCAGCCTGGGCAACAGAGTGAGATACTGTCTCAAAAAATTTATAAATAAAAAATAAAATAAAATACCTAGAAATAAATTTAACCAAGAGAATAAAAGAGCTCTACAAGTAAAACTATAAAATACTGATGAAATAAATTGAAGAAGACATAAGAAAATGGAAAGACATCCATGCTCATGGATCAGAAAAATTAATATCATTAAAATGACCATATTGCCTAAAGCAATCTGTATATTTAATGTAATTCTTATCAAAATATCAATGTCATCTCAGAGAAACAGAAAAAAAAAACTTAAAATTTGTATGGAATCAAAAAAGAGCCCAGACAGCCAAAGCAATCCTGAGCAAAAAGAACAAAGTTGGAAGCAACACATTATCTGACCTAAAATATATTACAAGCTTATAGTAACCAAAACAGCAAGATATTGATATAAAAACAGACACATAAACCAATGGAACAGGATAAAGAACCCAGAAATAAATCCACATATTTATAGCCAACTTATTTTAAACAATGGTGCCAGGAATATACATTGGGGAAAGGACACCCTCATCAATAAATTTTTCTGGGAAAACTGAATATTCATATGCAGCAGAATGAGGTTGAACCTCTGTTTTTCACCATATACAAAAGTCAAGTCAAGATATATTAAAGACTTAAACATAAGATCCAAAACTATAAAACTGCTAGAAGAAAGCATAGGGGAAACACTTAAATACATTATTCTAGAAAAAGATTTTATGGCCAAGACCTCAAAAGCACAGGCAACAAAAACAAAAATAGACAAATGGGACTATATTAAACTAAAAAGCTTCTGTACAACAAAGGAAACAAACAACAGAGTGAAGAAACAACTTGTTGAATAGGATAAAATATTTGCAAATTATTCATTAGACAAGAGACTAATATCCAGAATATACAAGGAACTCAGACAATTCAACAGTAAATATATATAATGGGATGGATAGATATACATATATAGATATATATTTATAGAGAGCTATATAGATATATATCCCATTAAAATGTGGGCAAAGGACCTGAATAGACATTTCTCAAAATAAGATATACAAATAGCTAACAGGTATATGAAAAAAGTGATCAATATCACCAATCACCAGATAAATGTAAGCCAAAATCACAATGAGATGTCAACTTACCCCAGTTAGAATAGCTATTACTGTAAATACAAAAAGAAAAATAACAGATGCTAGTGAAGATGCAGAGAAAAGGGAACATTTCTACACTGTTGATAGAAATGTAAATGACTATAGCCACTGTAAAAAATAGTAGAAAGATTTCTCAAAACATTAAAAATAGAACTACAGTATGATCCAGCAATTCCACTACTGGGTATTTATCAATAGGAAAATAAATTAATATATCAATGAGATACCTGCCCCCCACCCCATGTTCATTGCAGCACTATTTACAGCAGCAAAGATACAGAATCAACCTAACTGCCTATCAATGGACAAATGGTATATATAACAATGGGATACTATTTGGCCATAAAAAATAATGAAATCATGTAATTTACAGCAACATACATGAAACTGGAGGATATTATGTTAAGTGAAATTAGCTGGTCACAGAAAGAAAAGTATCATATGTTCTCACCCATATCAGGGAGCTAAAAAAGTGGATTTCATACAGTCACAGAGTAGAATAATAGATACCAGAGGCTGGAAAGGGTGCATGAGTTGTGTGGTGGGGGTGGGGGTGGTAAAGAGAGGTTGAGTAATGAGTTAAAACATACAGTTAGATAGAATGAATAAGTTCTAATGTTCCATGACAGAGTAGGGTGACCCTGCCATGGAACATTAGCAGATATAACAAGATAGCGTATATTTCAAAAAAGGCTAGAAGGACTCAAAATTTTCCCACACATAGAAATGATAAATGCTCAGGGTAACGTATACCCTATATATTCTGATTTAATCATTATTAGATATTCTATGTATGTAATGAAATATCACATGAAAAAAGTATGTTGTTTTAAACCCCGTAACTACATACAATGAAAATAAACTAAATACTACAACTAAAAGACAAAGATTATTAGACTGAGCAAAATAAAATCCAAATACACGTTGCTTATTAGAAACACTTTAAATACAAGAATACAGAAAAGTTGAAAATAAAGTGATGGAAAACTATATGTCACACAAATGGTAACCAAAAGAAGACCAGTATTGCTATATTCATATTAGACAAAATAGACTTTAAGATAATAGGAGAACTAGTGTCAATATCAATAAAATATCAATAAACATATCAATTCAACAGGAAAATATAAAATTTTTTATTGCATGTCTAGTAACATGTTTTCAAAATATATAAAGCTGAAACTGATGGATTTAAAGGAGAAATAAACAAATCCACAGTCATTGTTGGAGAATTTCAACATACATCTCTCAGTAACCAAAAAAGAAAGCAGTCAAAAATTACTAGCAATAAACAAACTATGACAATGTGATTAACAAATTTGACTTTATATGCAAATATACAGTATTACACTTGACAACTGAGGAATACACATTCTTTTTACATACAGAAAGAACATTTACCAAAACTGACCATGCACTGAGTCATGCAGAAATTTTAAACAAATTTGAAAGGACTGAATTCATACAGAGCATGTTTTTTAACCACAGTATTAAACTAGAAATCAGTATTTTTAAAAAATATATCATTAGAATGTCCATAATTAGAAAATAAGTGATAGACTCCTAATTAACCCATAAGTAGAAAAAGAAATCACAATGAAAATTGTTAAATGCTTTGAACTGAATAAAAGTAAAGCTGTGATATAAAAAATTGTAACATACAGCTAAGCCTATATTCAGAGGAACATTAACAGCCTTAAATGAACATATTGAAAAGGAAGAAAAGTTTAAAATTAATCGTCTAAGTATTCATCTCTAGATGCTAGAAAAGAATAGTATGTTAAATGTGAGGAAAGTAGGGAGAAGTTAATAAGGAGCAGAATTTAATGAAATAGAGATCAAATGTATAATAAGGATAATTCTTACAAATTTATTTCTTTGAAAAGATAAATAAAATTAATAAGCTTTACCAAGCATGATAGAGAAAAAGAGAAGAAGGAGGAGAAGGAAGGAAAGAAGAAAGAAAGTGAGGAAAGAGCCAGGCACAGTGGCTCACGCCTGTAATTCCAACACTTTGGGAGGCTGAGGCAGGTGGGTCACCTGAAGTCAGGAGTTCGAGACCAGCCTGACCAACATGGCAAAACTCCCATCTCTACTAAGAATGCAAAGTTAGCCAGTCGTGGTGGTGCATGCCTGTAATCCCAGCTATTAGGGAGGCTGAGGCAGGAAAATGGCTTGAACCCGGGAGATGGAGGTTGCAGTGAGCTGAGATCACGCCATTGCACTCCAGCCTGGGCAACAAGAGTGAAACTCTGTCTCAAAAAAAAAAGAAAAAAGAAAAGAAAGTGAGGAAAGAAAGAAAAAAGGGAGGGAAGAAGAGAGGAAGGAAAGTAAGGAAAGAAAGAGGAAGGAAGGATAGAACAGTTGAGAGGAGAGAAAAAGAAAACACAAATTACCACTATCAGAAGTAAAAAAAAAAAAAAAAGGATTATAATCTATATGCTAAAAACATTAAAAAGGTATAGAGGATAAACAACTTTAAGACAATAAACTTGAACATTCAAATGCCCACATTCCTTAGAAAGAACAACAAAACTAAAACAGGAAAAACAGAAAATCTGAATAATTATCTACCTATTTAAAAGTTAAATCTGTAATTAAAATTTCTTAACAAGGAAAACGTCAGGACCAGATGGCTTTACCACTATCTTCTTCCCAACATTAAAAGAAAAAAAAAACATTTTACACAAATCCAATCAGTGAAATTTACTCTATTAACAGAATAAAGGAGAAAAGTTATATGGTCATCTCAGTAGGTGCAAAAAAGAAAAAAAAAGCGTTTAATAAAAGCCCAATGCATTTGATGTTAAATACTCTTCACAAATTAGGCACATAGATGATCTTCCTTAATATGATAAAAGGTATTTATTTTAAAGCTATAGAAATTATACTTAATGACAAATATTAGATTTCTTCCTGCAATCAGGAATGGGACAAAGATGTTCATTAATATTACTCCTTTTTTCATTGTATAGGAGTCCTTGCGATTGAAATAATGTAAGAAAAGAGACACAAATTATAAGGAGTAGAAAGCAAGAAATAGAAATATTGTTATCTCAGTCAAGATTGTGACATAAAAACTCCAAAACAATCTATTAAAAAATTATGTTGGGAGGCTGAGGCAGGCGGATCACAAGGTCAGGAGATCGAGACCATCCTGGCTAACACAGTGAAACCCCGTCTCTAGTAAAAATACAAAAAATTAGCTGGGAGTGTGGTGGGCACCTGTAGTCCCAGCTATTCATGAGGCTGAGGCAGGAGAATGGTGTGAACCTGGGAGGCAGAGCTTACAGTGAGCCAAGATTGCACCACTGCACTCCAGCCTGGGTGACAGAGCAAGACTCTGTCAAAGAAAATTCAAATTATGAGAATTAAGAAATGAATTTAACAATGTGAGATGCATAGTTAATATAGTACAAAACAGTTCTATTTCTATATAACAATTTATAATACCAAAATATAAAGCACTCAGGAATGTGCAATTAAATTTCTATCATTCACTACACACATACACACACACAACTTTGTGGTGAAACATTAAAGAAATGAATGGAAATATATATCATACTCATGGATTGGAAAATTCAATATGTAAAGATATCAACTCTCTTCCAAACTGATCTATTGATTTAAAACAGTACCAATCAAAATCCTGGCAGAGTTAGCGCATCTGCCTTCTATAACAACTTCTGGCACTAACTGTTATAATTAGGTGTCTACTCCATTTATGCTGCTATAACAAAATACCACAGACTGGATAATTTATAAACAATAGAAATTTATTGCTTATAGTTCAGAAGGCTGGGAAGTCCAAGAACAAGGCATTGGCATGATTGGTGTCTGGTAAGGGCTGCAATCTCTGCTTCCAAAATGGCATCTTGTTGCCAAGTCCTCCAGAGGGAACCAACTTGTCCTCACATGATGGAAGGCAGAAGGGTATTGCCTTCAACCTCAAGCCCTTTTATAAGAGTTCTAATTCCATTTACAAGGGCAGAGCCCTCATGACTTCATCACCTCCCACAGGCTACACTTACTGTTGCATTGGGGATTAAGTTTCAACCTGAATTTTAGAGGGAACTATCATTCAAACCATAGCAGTAGGGTTTCCTGGAAAACAGAAGCTTAAACTCTTAGATTTGCATGCAGGAAACTTATTAGGGTCTACTCTCAAGAACAACTCTGAGTAAGGGTCGCAGTATTGGGCAGAAGGGGAATTGCAACTGCAATGCAGTTGCACCATACATTCAGCCAATCCTACAATCCTAAAGGGAGGTCTGGAGCTGGGATTGCCCTTGAACATTGCCCTAATTGTGGAAAGAGAGCTAGGCCCATTATCCCTACAAGGACTAGTCATTGGATAGAGGCAGCTCCTGGGGGAATGGTGTATCCTTGGGTTAGGCAGCTTCCTTTAGTCCAGAACAATTTCTGAAGAGGGCCTCAGCTGTGGGCCCTCAGGAGTCAACATTCAGGCAACTGGAAAAATAAGTGCCTTGGACAGGAAGGGGGATTTCGGGTCATACCACAGCATCCACTATAGTACTTCACATGCATTATTTCATTGATTCTTACAACAACCCTATAAGGAATATACTGCTATTATCAAATGACAAAGTCAACAGTGGTTAAACAATTTGTCCAGCATCATTTTATCTTACTAGCAACAACACCTGTACTGTTTACCACTCATGCCTACATTCTTTTAATCAAACTTACTAAACAGAACAAAATTTTGTTTTCATACTCAGAGAGTTCAATTTACCTAGAAAAAATATTTACCTGAAGGCTGAAAATACTTCTATATTCTGCTACTTTGAATGTTTTCTATCTTATATTTTAAGATTATGTTATACTCTTAGTAGAGTTTTCCCCATCAGTAGATTTTTTTTTAATACTTTAAGTTCTGGGGTACATGTGCAGAACATGCAGGTTTGTTACATAGGTATACATGTGCCATGATGGTTTGCTGCACCCATCTACCCATCATCTACATTAGGTATTTCTCCTAATGCTATCCCTCTCCATACCCCCCAACCCTCTGACAGGCCCTGGTGTGTGATGTTCCTTTCCCTGTGTCCATGTGTTCTCATTGTTCAACTCCCACTTATGAGTGAGAACATATGGTGTTTGGTTTTCTGTTCTTGTGTTAGTTTGCTGAGAATGGTGGTTTCCAGCTTAATCCATGTCCCTGCAAAGGACATGAACTCATCCTTTTTTATAGCTGCATAATATTCCATGATGTATATGTGTCACATTTTCTTTATCCAGTCTATCATTGATGGGCATTTGGGTTGGTTCCAAGTCTTTGCTATTGTGAATAGTGCCGCAATAAACATACGTGTGTATGTGTCTTTATAGTAGAATGATTTATAATCCTTTGGGTATATACCCAGTAATGGGATGGCTGGGTCAAATGGTATTTCTAGTTCTAGATCCTTGAGGAATCGCCACACTGTCTTCCACAATGGTTGAACTAATTTACACTCCCAGATGTTTTAATAAGCAACTAAGACCCTTTATTTAGGCCCTTTAATTATACACGAAGTCAAGGCATTTATCAAACATCCACTATCATCAAAGCACTGTTGTTCTAGGCATAAAGAGATGGAGGATGGGCATGGGCATTAAAAACCAAAACCAAACCAAACCAAACAAACATCTCTTGCCTCTTAAGGCTGTTTATTCTCCTCAGCCAAGTAAGAAATAAAGCTGAAATGGCAACAGTTCTCATAGCATGTAAGTCCTTCAGAAGCATGAGAATATTTTTTTTAAAATATGACATTGAAATTCAACTTAAATTTCATTATTACAGGTATTCTGATGAATGTTAGTTATTCTAAAACAACGCAGGAAATCAAATTACTTGCTCTCAATTGAATTATAATCAATCACCGTATTTAGTCCAGAGGTATCACAGCCCTATTATTTTCAAATAGTTTTATTGATGTATAATTTATATACAGTTAACTAATGTTTGAAGTATGTAATTTGATACATGTACATATAATTTCATATATATGTGTGTATATATATATACACACACATATATACATACACACACACGTAAAACTATCATAAAAATCTAAATAATAGACATATTCATAATCCACAAAATTTGTTCTTGTTGCTTTATAATGTCTTCTTCCTACCCCTCCACACCTCATACATTATGCCAGGAAACCATATTTTGAAATTTGGCCATGTTGGTGGGTGTATCTTTCCTTTTATTGTTGAGTAGTATTTTAAGGACATACCACAATTCATCGATCCATTTATTTGTTGATAGACATTTGGGCTGTTTCCAGTTCAAGATTGTTACAAATCAAGCTGCCATGTATACCTCTCCCAAGTCTTTATTGGGCATAGACTTTCAGTTCTCTATGGTAAATGTCTAGGAGCAGAATGATAGTTGTATGTTTTACTATGTAACATCGACAAACTTTTTCCAAAGCAGTTGTGCTATTTTATATCTCACTAGTAATACAGTTAGGTTCTTCAGCATTTACTTCCATCCTACTTAGATAGGCAGGCAGCACTGGAAATATTCACTATGGAAAGAGTCTCATCTCTCCATCAAGTTTCCTGCCCCATGACCAGACTGCCTCAAGCTGATAGGGCTTGTCTGTGTGATTCTCCACTTAGCATTGCCTCCTTCAGAGAGGAACCTCTCTAAGTCTCCCACCCACAAGTTATGTACCTTCTACGCATTTCTGAAAAGAAGAAAAGTACCTCTTACCTTGGAAAAGTGTGCTTTGCTGGCCCTTTAGGACTGTAACCAATAGTATTCTCTCTTCCACCAGCTCTACCTGATTTTCACGGCATTTGATAGCTCTTTGATAGTATTTGATGTGGTCAGTGTTTCAGATGTTTTCTGGTTTTGTCAGAGACAGAATTGTATGTCATCCTCCTTGTGTTTTTTATTGAATAATTTCTGAGTGGAGAAAGGGAAATACAACTTTCCTCTGCCACACTCAAAATGGATGCCCATTCCTCCTTTTAGTACTCAAATAGCAAGAGATCAAGTTCCAGTGATTTAAGACCACTTGAAGTACAGTTTTTAATGAAAATTATTCCTTGTGATTTCTGGATATTTCTGGGAATTTCAGGGAAGTACCACTTGTTCCACAAATTTATCCTCTTTGATGTATGTCATCTTGGGCAATTGTCTCACTTTAGATTGCTTCTTCCCTTCCTATAGCTTACCTTTTGCCAACTCATAACTAACTTCTTCAGGTTACTGCCACTTTCCACATATATCTTTTTTAATTCTCAAAGACCTGCTGAGCTCAAGTTATAGTTTCAGCTAGGTATTACAGAAGGCCCGGGGATAACAGACAGCAACACAGAGAACTAACAACTTCCAATAAAAGCGTGTGGGCCTTAGTGCCCACCAGGCCAACCCGAACCTAAGTCCCTGGAAACTTCCTGCAAATAATTCATACGTCCAGGTCAACCCAAACAAATGAAGTAGAAGTCTTCACCCAGAGCAGCTCTAGCCCGAACTCTCTTCAACCCCAGAAGAATAGAGAATCTTTCCTTCCTCCAGACCAAGGCTTGCCTGTTTTTTTCTCAGGATTGTTGACAGAGGGACCATTCATTCCATTCAGGGGAAACTCCATTCCTGTCCATAAGGATGTGAACTGAGCTATATAATCAGGACAAGAATATCACAATAGTCCAGGATTATGTATCTCCAGTAGCACGAGAACATACAGAGACAGGCCAGGTGGTACTTAACTGACTAAGTCCAGTTCAAGTTCAAGTCACAGCCTGTCTTCCAAATTAATATAGTCTTTCTACTCTAGCCTTAACTCCCAATCCCTAGTAAACAGAGTCTTACTTAGGTAAGAACATACATATGTACCTACACATATATCACACATATATCTCCCCCTTCAAAAAAGTAATTTTCAAGCATACAGCAGTCAAAATTCAGGTTTGAGTTCAGATTGGGAGAAAATTAGCTAATTCTTTAATGCCAGGGTTCTTCTACTATATCCAAGTTCACCTTCCTAAACGATACCCTTAAGATCTCAGTCAAAAATATCTTCATTTGAATTAATTCGCCAATTTAGAGCTTCCCAAACTAAAATTAGGTCATATATGACTAAAAATGGTTTTCAATATATTTCCTCCTGGAACAACCCCATCCCCATCTCTTCTAAAAAAGGCAGAAATTTTTTACAACTCCCCAAATGACAGCTTTCAACAATTCAAAAAAATTAAATATCTTCTCCACTAAACACATATTTATAAAGTATATACATCAGTTCTAGGAATAAACATCTTGGATTTTTATATCTTTCTCCAAACCAATGGTTATTTGTCTTACATGGCAAAATACTTAATAAGGCATGATACCTAACACTGATTACAGCCCACCAGGGGACTCTGGTCCATGCCAAACCCAATGTGATCACAACTGCCCTTGCCTTGGACACTGTGCTCTGTTAATGCGGCCAAAGGTATCCTCAGCATTCTTGGTAACCACCTCACATCACTGGCTGACTATAAACAGTTTGGTCAGTGACACAGAGATTTTTTTTCACATGAATTATTGTCAGGCAAAGCCCCCCCATACATCTAGGGCTCTTTTTTAATTTGAGTGTACAACTTGACATTTAGCCCTACTAAATTTTCTCTTTCTTATTTTTGCTCACTACTTGTCCCTCAAAACCATTTTGAACCTTGTCTTCTAAAAGTTTAACTGTTTCTTATCAGTGCTTATTGCTCACAAATATGATAAACTTGCCTTCCATCTCATCAACATTGTAAATAATATTTCGAACAAAACAGTCACAGTTGGGACCCTACATCATGTCACTGAAAACATTAGTCCAGGCTGATCTCAACCAGTTATTTAACACTCTAAGCCATGGAGGTAAACTGCAAGCTGCAGGCAAAATGTGACCTGCCATTTGTTTTTGTAAAGCAGGTTTTAAGGTTTTATTGGAAACCCAGGAATGTTCATTCATTTATGTCTATCTGTGGCTGCTTTTCTGCTACAGTGGTAGACTTGAGTAGTTGCATCAGTGACCATGGGCCATAAAACCAACACTATTTGCTTTCTGGAAATGTATAGCAAAAGCTCGCTGTCTGTTGCTCTAAGTGACAGATGGGTCAGTCAGGTCTAAATGCCACCTAATGGAACTATCATCCCTTTGTTAGTTGTATGAAGAAATTTCAAATGTCATTCTACTGAAATGAAAATATCTAAATCCACAGCATTCTTTTGGTCTATAGAATTTCAAAGCATCTCCAAAAAGGAAATCAAATTAGTTTTGTTTAGATTTTCCTGTATTCTTCTCATTCCAAAATAAGGCTAGGAATTGTCAATCTATAGTTTTTACATTTTTTTACCCGCTTTTTAGAAATTGGGTCCACCCTACTTTTCTGGAATATCTACCATTCTCCATAACATACGGCAATTCCTCAAACAGGAAAGCTGTTTCATTTAGTGATTATAATACCAGAGCAAAGCAACTGCCATTGTATTTCTATATCTAATATTAAGATACCTATAGTAATACTGGTGTTTTATCTTCTAAGGTGATTTATTTAATATTATGAGTTCTGGATAAGCAACTAAACGAAATAGTGCATTTTATTGCAAGTAAAATATTTCTAAATGTTACAATACAAAAAAGTAAATTACTAACATTTAAATGTTAAACATACATTATCATTTTATATCTATACATATACATACATATGTATATGTATATGTAAATGTAATTAGTTGCTCCTGGCTCTCATGCTTCCCTCTACTTAGCACCTTCTAAATCAGGAGCTGTTGGTGTTGTTGCCTCTTAATATAGACCTGAATGAGCTTCAGAACCTTTGAGCTGAGTTGACTTCCTACATAGATTTGTCAGGACTGCTGCCTCCCAACTGTAACTCTGCTCTGCAAAGTGGAGCCATATTACCAAAACTGTGATTCAGTGTTCCACCAACCCATGGGGCCTGGCCTTGGTTTAGTCTACATTTTTCCCAACAGAAATATTCACCCATTTCAGAGGATCTCTCCCACCAGCTCCGTGCTTATCCTTCCCCCTATTTTGGAGTCAGGGACTGGGCTGGGGAAGAGGTGAGGGCCTAGAGCTGTTGAAGGAGCTGAGAGGAGGACAGTGGGCCAGGCAGAAGACAGCAGAGGAAGACTGGACAAAGAAGTCGACTAATGAAGGAAGCTGCTGCCCAGTGATCTAAAAAAATAATTCTTTTATTTGGGTACATACTTAGAAATAACTAGTTACAGTACATAGGAACATTTATTCAAGTAATTTAAATAGCAAGTTACATGGGACCTTAAAGAAAAAAACAGTGTTGAAGAGGCTAAAGATATTATTCTCTGGCCTTTCTCTTCATTCTGCTTCCTTCTTTCAGGGCTTCTCCTCTCACCTAGATAAATGCAGAGACCTAAGTCTACCTGCTTTTGCTGCTCTGTCCCATCATGCACAGGTAGAATTCCAAACTCCTAACATCTGCTCTCAGTGTCACCTTCTACCACTTCTCCTCATGGAGCCAACACCGCAGCCATAACATCCTGCGTATCCTTGAGCACAGGATGTTTCTGTGTCTTTGTATTTATTTCTTATTTCTGGAAGAAACTTCCCCCTCTTTTCCATTAGAATAACTGCTACTGATCCTTCAAGAAAATGATCATTTTAACTCACGAGTGAAGTGTTTCCTAAACTGCTCTTCAAGGCTACATTAAATGTTCCTATTCTGTTCTCCAACAATGCTCTGTACAAGGCTCTTTAATAGGACTTTTCATGCCATATCATAACTACTTGTGTCCATATGTTTCACTCCCAGAAACTGAACTCTTTGAGGAAAGGGCCATTCTTTATTCAGTTCTGTATGGCTCACTGCTATCACGGTGCCTCCCATTTGGCTGGGGCTGAGTAGTACTTAATGAACAGGAAATGGATGAGTGAACTCATTCAAAACAGCCTGGTCCTTTCTTACAATCACTATATCCGTTTTAAACTCCAATTATCTTTTAATCATATTTATTTGATCCTTTCTGTAGTTGGATGTGGTCAGATCATCTGTAATTTCTATACCTGCAATTTGCAGCTTCTTTAATTTCATAATTTGAAATCCATTTTAAATGGATCTTTTCTTCTAGTTTACCTCAAGTCAAATAAATGGGAAATTAAGCCAAAGGATGGCTCTGCTTGCTTTCACATCCATCAATGCCTGCCTTCCCACTGGGGCTATTTCTGCTTCACAGCCATTCCTCTGCACACATGACTGAATCCGCCCCAAGGGTCCCTTCTTGATTAGCCATGTGCCCATCATTACATTTATGACTGTCACTGCCAACTCTCCCTTTTACTCTGTCCTGTTTGCTCTTCCTCCTCCTTGTGTTTCTTTGTCTGCCTCACAAGACTCTTCTCTCAGCATTGCACAGCAACGTAAGGAAAATTGGAAATCAGAAAACCTAGCGTGTAGCTCCAGCTCCAACGGTAACTAACCGAGCAACTTAGAGCGACAAATAGGCCCATGACTGCTGTTGAAGCAGCTAAAGATATTATAGTAGATGCTTCCTTTGTATGCTGATTTAATTGTCAAAACATACTACAAGGTATGTGCTAAAATATCCATTCAAAAGATAAAGAGGCTGAAGCTAAAGTGAATTTCTTACAGTCACATGGCATGTTAGCTACAAACTCCAGCAAAGCAGAATGGAGTAAACCAGGCAGACTAGGGTTCAAATCCTGACTCCATCACCCATTAGCTGGCCCATCTCCAGTGAATTAATCATTTTGAGTAACAGTTTTGTATTTATTAAAAAGTGGATAATACTGTCAACCCTGCAGCTCTGTGTATGATAGATAAGTGAGAGCAGTTGTCAAGCAAACAGCATGGTGCCTGACACATTTTAAGTGCTCAAAAAATGGTAACTCTTAATGTGAAGCAGAGATACCAGGCTTCAAACCTGGCTATAAAGCCTATGTTCCCATGAACATTTTGTCCTGCCTCTTAGGCAAATTCATTTCTCCATTAAGTGAGGGGTTGAATAAGAAGCTTTGAGAACTGCAAACACCTGGCTTGTCCTTCTGTTTTAGCCACTTCCTCAAATAGGTTTGTCACTAAACCTCTAAACTTCAGTTTATTCATCTATGAAATGGGGGGTGGGTCTTTCCTTGGAGCTTTTGAGGGTCTGATTGAATAAAGTGGAATATCTTGAGAAATACTATATTTAAAGGAATTTCTCTATAGGGTTAACTGATTAGGACTCCTTCGGCACCACCATCCACCTCATTTTTTGTTTTTTCTAATGCCAGTGTTTGAGGTACTAGACAGCAGATAAGTGAGAGAAGACAGTTTACTGCTTGGCGAGGCACTCAAATAACACCATGTAATTTATGTTTCGTTTCCAGTTCATGAAGCCAGCCCTAACACAGCATCTGTTCTTATGTTTCGAAAATTAGTGAGTTCTTTTCCTTGCCTGAAGAGTAGATTTCAATTAAGTAAGGAAAAACTGTCCCCTACAAAAAAAAATTAACTGTAGCATGCCAAAAACGGAGTCCAGCATTAATTGTATGTAGCGATTGCTGACTATAGGGTGAATGCACTTGGACAGAATTCTGTGCTTCTGAGCAACCGCACACACGGGGAATATTATGGGATGGCTGAATGATTAAACTTCTTATTTGAAGTGATTGGTGTTATAATTAAGGGATCCACTATTTGTTCAGAGAGTGGGTCAGGGGTGGGGGCTAAGGCACACGTAAGGCCCTGCATAGCCGGTGTTTCATACTATGTCCTATTTTGTCCATGCTGGGCTTCTAGACATAAACATAGCTGACCTGATGCACGAGTCATATTTCTACATTACCCTAGCAACTTCCTATAGTCAGGGAAGCTACAGCTACTTCATAAAGAAGTCCTGGCTGGAACTATTGATTCTGGCCAAAGACTGGGAGCAAACTCAGGATCCTACAGGGCTGCATTGGAATTATTACAATAATCTAGTTATTTGATTTGGCTGCTTACCCCTACAGAAATATAGGGAGACGTGGTGCAAAACAGTAAAAACAAGAAATCAATTTAGAATCACATCTACATTTAAGACCTCCCTCCAGCTCTGCCTTGGTGCAGTCTCCCTCCCTACCAACCCCAACTCTTTCACCTGGCTTTAGAGCCCATCCCCTCCCACAGACTTGCCTGCATCAGTGATCTTTTATCTCTCATAGATCAATCCTTCTGTCTTTATTTTTCCTCCCTCTTCATTTGTTAGATTCTCAGCTGTTGTTGACAACTTGAGTCAGTCTCCCATTTCCTTCTTTAAAGGGCTATTAATCCTCAAGAACAGCTGGTTCTCTACTGGTTCTTCCTCCTCATCATACATTCACTGAAGCCTCCTGTACTGTCATTTCTATTTCCAATATTTGACGGAAGATGCTCTCCCAAAATGTCAACAATGGCCTCCTAAAGGTTAGCTCTTACTCTCTCTTCTCAGTCCTCAAAGTACTGAAGTTTGGCATTGTTGCCTACACCTACTTTTTAGAAATATTTCTCCTCTGCTTTGGAACCCTGATTTCTGCTGAGTCTCTACTACCCATGATCATTCATATTTTAGTCTTCTATTTCTCTGCTTATCCTTTAAGTAACAATTTTGACTAGGATTCTTTTCGCGATCTTCTTTTATTATTCATCCTTGGCTATAATGATGAATGCAGTTAAACTTTGTTGCAACAATTAAGATAATTGTACAATGCCTGGCATTTACTAAGCATTCAATAAATAGCAGTAGTTATAAAAAATCTTTTCATCTTCATTTCCCACCACATGGAGTCATAAAACTTATGTTCCAATACACAGATTTTATGCTTTCCTACAACAACTTGGTATTTCCGCAGACATTATCTTCATCATGGAATGTCTCGTTCCCTCTCCCAAGGAGGACTTTACACAGCTTTCAAAGACCCATTAAAATATTACCTTCTTTTTAAAGCTTTTCTCAATGTCTCATTAGAATTTTACTCTGGCCCCCAAAATACCTTGCCACCTCCATTGAAACTAATTGCTTTATCTCTTTAAAATAATAATGTAGCCTGTCTAAAAGCTG